>NC_000009.12:32737272-32888787 GCF_000001405.40 Homo sapiens
TTCATAGAGGTATTTGCCTACCTCGGGAAATTCCGGGTCCAAAGGAACTAAAGAAAGCATTACTAACCACACAATATGGGAGCAATGTCTCCGCTTCATTGGCCAAGAAAAGCCTATTCAAGACCTTGAGTTTTTGAAGAAGTACAAGGGATATTTTACACAGCTTCAGTCCCAACCACCTCCCTGGGAATCTGTGGACACTATGGATAGTGGTGGTTGGAGTAGAAAGTGAGGCTTAAAATGCTCCAGGCCTGGTGTGGGAAATACCCAGTCCCCTATCTTCTTTCCTGTTCCCTAATCAAAGAACATCTGTAAACAATCATGCCACTCACAAGTACCCAGATGTAACTGCAAAATCCTGCTAAATACAGTGCTCCAGGCACACACAGCAAGTGATTAGGATTAGCCCCAAAATTCAATATATTTCCCAAACTTGCTTTAGATCAGGGTTCCTCGACAGCAGCACTACTACTGTTTTGGACCAGATCATTCTTTCTTGGGGATGGCTGCACGGTGCATTGTAGGTTGTTTAACAGCATCTCCAGCCTCTACCCATCTAATGCTAGCAGCACCCCCCACTCATTGTGAAAACCAGAAATGTCTCTAGACATTGCCCCCAGTTGAAATATACTGCTTTGGATAATAACAGAAGTCAAGTTACTCCAACCATCAAAACTTAAGAATCACCTGAAATAGAAAGAGTAACACAAATGAAAGTATCTCTGGATGGTCCCCTATTCCGATTCTAAAAAGTTTATTGGGAGATACATGTTTATGCAAGGGGCTAATTTAAGTATCAATTACATCTACAATCCCAGCAGCCTTGGATAAAATAGTCTGCTCTAGAAGCAAGAGAGAGAAATTTGTGGAGACCTGTTATCTTAGGCTGTAATTATAGTTGGGAAACTTCACGTGAAGAATCAGCCACAAGAAAGTATACAGAGATAGGGAGGGCTTATGGGGTCTTGCTGGTGGTCCACTTATCACAGAGCTGCCCAGGTTTCTCCCATAATAAAGTCCTGGAAGCTTGGAAGGATAATTATCAACAAAACAGCTTAGCATTTACTGAGCTTTCTATAGGCACAAGGCATTTTACATACAAGTATTTCACTTTTATTATCTTATTTAATCCTCACAAACATCTTAGGAATTGGATATTATTCTTATTCTCATCATACAGATAAGAAAATGGAGACTCAGAGAGATGAGGTACAAGTTTCCACAGCTAGTGAGTGCCAGTTTCAAAATATAAATTCCATTGTCCTGGCCGCAAATCTCATATTCTTTCTGCTACATGAAATATCCAGGAAAAATCGGATGCACCTCCTCCTCTTGGGGTCCCTCTTTTCACAATAGTCTGAGTTGAGTCCTACCCAGCTATATGACTCCTCCAGGTTGGGAAAGAGTCAATTCCCTAGGCAGGTCCTGAGTCAGAAGACTGCATATCCCCAAAGTGGACAAGCCTCAGCAAGGCCCTGCCAACTCCCTCTGAAAAAGGGGATCAGCACAGAATTGGTCCCTGAGGAATCTAGGCCAATGTGGGACTGGCAGTAACATCCTTAAGGGAAGATCCAAGCACACAGTAGAATCTCTCATTCTCCAGCTTTTTCTGGGGTTCTAAAGGATAGAACTTGTGTGCAATTGTATTAACCAATCACCATTCACCTGGGCAGTGACTCACCTAGAACATGAGTCACGTTTCACCCATTTCACTAGACCAGTGGTTCTCACACTTTAGAGTGCCTCAGAGTCACCTACAGGGCTTGTTAAACCACAGATTGCAGGGGTACCTAAGCCCAGAATTTCTGATTTGGTAGGTCTGGAGTAGGTCCTGATAATCTGCTTTTCTAACAGGTTGTCGGGTGATGCTGATTGTGCTAGTCCTAGGAACATCTTAATAACTACGTCGCCTTATTAAGCCTTGGATAAAGAAGACCACTTCATGGTAGGTGAAGTTCCTCTACCCTTTCCCCAGCCCCAGGCTCATATTCAGACAGGATTATTTTATGAATCCAGGTTACACCTTCACAGCCCAATAGAACTCAGTCAAGAATTCAACAGAGCAGGATTAGGAGAACATAGGGAGAGGGCTCCATCCTACAGGGCTGACCTCCTTCTCAGAGTGGGGTTCTTCTCTTTCCTTTGGGGAGCCAGAGTGCCAAGAAGGTCTTGTGCAGCCACAGAACAGCATTTCCCACTTGCAGGGTCCAATGGCCACGCATCACTAATCCTCCCCACAAATCCTTCCTCCAGCACCCCTTTCCAACAGCTTTCTCCCCATTTGCCAGGGGCTGTTCTGGCTCCCTACTCATCTTGCGAGCACACTGGCGGGCCAGGAAGGGAGGTGTAAAGGAGGAAGTCTAAGCTGGTGGGTTATTAACAGTTTGGCTTGGATGGGAAAGGGAATCTGAGCAGGGAGACAAAGTTATTACTGGAGACAGTCTGTTTATAGGCCTAAAGGGTCAAGAATTCCTGCTAAAAAGAAAATCCTCCAAAGACCACCCAAACCAATGAAGTATCAATACATCGGTCAGACTCAGAACTCAAAGATGGTATTAACAGAGTGGCATTTAAATGCCCCTTTTGTGAGTCCCTTTGAATCCTAGGCTAGGCCTAAGCCGTCTCCCTCCGTGATGAAATAGGGACAAGAATGTCAAGCTGATACCTGAGTTGCTCCTGATCGAGTAGGATTCAACTGTTCAGGACTGCATAAAAGGCCCAGCCGTGCATTTCAACTGGACAAGGCTACAACCAAAATGACAGTCATAATATTCTTGGCTTATTAAAGATATTTTATCATGTCATCCGAGACTCTAAGTTTGCTCTGCTGGCAAGTGGCTTGAAGACCAAAGTAAAAACGAATCTCTGTTATCTGGATTTTTATAACCAGTCTGGCAAGCCAGGAAACTCTTCCTTCAGGTGATATCTTGAAGTATGAAAAACCAAAAAAGGATACCAGAGGCTACAGAAGGAACTGTGGGGCAGTCAGCAAATCCACAGATTAAAACAGACAGTCACATGCCAAGGGGATAGATTAATATTACTACTATTAACAGTGGCGTTAGAAATTTGGGGGAGCTCATTTAATCACACTCCCACCCGACGCTGGTATTGAGAACAGACACAGGCAAGAAACCAGATGAGGATCAAAATAGTATCAGCTTTAATACTAGTAAAGCTGGATTTAAGACTGAAGCTCACTCCTGTGGTCCAGGCAGGGACTTCCTGCTTCCTCCTTCCAGGTCTGGTCATGGGGGTCTGACATGGGAACAGTTGGGTCTGCAGAGTAGACACTTACTCAACTTATGTGTGGAGGATCAAAGAACACCCAACACCCACAGATGGCAGAACAGAATCAGAGAGAGAAAGTAGCCTCTAGGCTGCCTCCAGACCAATGGTGTCAGATGCAGTTTCAGGTTGAAATCATTTGTTTACAAAAAAGGAAAAGTGAAGCAAAAAAAAAAAAATGTGGATGGCTGTGGGAGATTAGGCCTCAGAGATGGGGCCAAGAATAGCAGAAACATATACTTGGTGAGTATCCCTGACCAGGTAAGTTGTTCCTGACAGGAAAGTGAAGAGGGGACGAAGCGGGAAGGAAGTTTCCTCCCCAGGACTGCTGCTAGCAAAATGCCTCTTTTTTTTTTTGAGATGGAGTCTCACTCTGTCTCCCAGGCTGGAGTGTGCAGTGGCACAATCTTGGCTCGCTGCAGCCTCCCCTTCCCGGGCTCAAGCAATTCTCCTGCATTAGCCTCCTGAGTAGCTGGGACTACAGGCGTGCACCACTATGCCCGGCTAATTTTTTGTATTTTTGATAGAGATGGGGTTTTGTCATGTTGCCCAAGCTGGTCTCAAACTCCTGAGCTCAGGCAATGGGCCCATCTCAGCCTCCCAAAGTGCTATGATTACAGGTGTGAGCCACCACACCCGGCCCAAAATGCCTCTTCTGTGGGCCAAGGCAGAAGTGTGGGAAGATTAAGAGGATGCCAACCCTCCAAACAACAGTGACAATAACTGCTATGTTCACTTAACTCCTACTGTTTGCCAGGAGTTGTTCTTTCATACATTTAAATTTTGGAACAATCCTGTGTGGAAGGTATAACTATCCCCATTTTACAGATGAGGAAATGGAGGCTGACAAAGGTTACATCACTTGCCAAGGTGAGGGTGTAACTGAGTCACAGAGCTGCTGTGACTAGCTGCAGAGTCTATGCTTGTCCCATCACATTCAGCTACATACTCTCCTCCAGAACAGAGAGGGAAATGCAGTCACCAGAGAGTTGGAACTATGTGTATGCACAGCAGGGTGACTATCTAGGTTTTATCTGGGTGAGCACTTCAGACACTGCAATTCTTCTCTTAAACACCCATGCATATACTTGTAACTACTCTTCTTTAAATGAGGCATTAAATGAGGCATGCAAAGCTCTGTCTTTGTAGTTCACCTGGATAATGGTAATGATGGCCTGTGTAGAATAAGTCTGTGATGTCAAACAATGGGCTGAGCCTTCCCCAGTGTCAGGAACTTACCCAACCAGAAGTCATTAAGCTCGGTGGTTTCCCTCTTGCCTCCACAAGCACTCATTAGGGGCTGCGAAAGAAATGCCTTTTTATGTACATTCTCCCTGAAGTTTCCTACTGTGTGAGATTGGCATTTGGGTGCAGATTTCATCATCTGGGCTCCCTGCCAACTGCAGTGGAATAGTTCAAACTTCCAGCCTGTGAAGTCTCCTGGTCAGGGACCTTTACGCTCTGTTTTGCTGAAGGGTATGACATTTGCAAGTCAGCAGAAGGAAGGTTTCTGTACTTCTCGAATATCTTGGTAGAAATAAAATCTTTATGAGGGAGACCCTGTGTGGGATGATTTGAGCCAACCACTTGGCTTTCTTACAGAATAGACAGGTATAATTTCCATGTCCCAAACCAGGTCATCCTAGTGTAGTTTGTCCATTTGACAAATAGAAGGCAAAGAAAGAGCAAGAAGCAATGCTGAATGCTTCGGTTTCAAAGTTCAGGGCAAAGAGCTACAACTGGAATGTTCACATTTTTTCAGTACTCATCCCACGATCTGAAATTCCTAATAATGCTGGGTTGATGGGATGCAAACTGGGAGGGCAGGCACTGGGTGTGATTTAAGCATGAGTCAAAGACCATGGAGGCTTCAGTCAAATCTCATTTTCTTTTGTCAGGAATCCTTCATAATGCCCCAGTCTCTGATGTCATTTTAGTGGAATTCAATTTTAAGCAGTGCAGAACTATAGAATTGGTTACATTAGGCGTCAGATACAAGTCCAGTCACTAAACAGTCCAGCCTGTTGGGGAAGCCTAGTGGTAACCAGGACAATCAGCAGGAGGCAGGTTAGGAACTCCTGCCTCATGGTTTACAGTTGAGCATACAGTGATTAAGCAGCAAGCTCTTAAGTTAGCCAGGCTTCCCACTTTCTGGGGGATGTTTAATTATATCACACAGTGAACGGGAAATGCAAGACTAGTTTTCTCTTCATATTCTAACAAAAAGTGGCTCTTTCCCTCTAGAGGTTTGAAATGCCTCCTCCATTGACATGATGAAAGGGAAGGGCATTGATGCCACAAAGAGAAGGCAGTTGTCCAAGAAAATACACAGAGCCCTTGGGCCGGAAGGACAGAAAGCAGAGGCCACTTCTGGCCATCCCCATTAGTGGAGGCGTAGAGGTGTCTGCTGCGTCGTACTAAGAATACCGGTATGGGGTGGACAGTGGGAGGTGCGAATTTATGAAGTATCTGAAGATGATACTCTCACAGGATTGTAGATAAGGAATTAAGAATTGAGGAATAAGGACACTGAAGAAAGATTCAAACATCCAGCATACAATGGTACAGGGCAAGTTCTTTCAGGACAAGAGTCCCCAAACATAAAAGAAGGAAAATAATCTAGACCTTGGTTACTGGGTTGTCACTAGTGTCCTAATGAGAAGTGACTGAAAATTGCCCCCACAATATGATGTTTTGTGAAGTTCTAATTAAAGACCCAGAGCTTGGTCATTCTGTATAAACCTGTTCATATCTTCATAAAATCCCAAATCCCCTTCAGGTACCATCAGATGGAGGCCCCTGACCTGAGGAAACCCTACTTCACCATCGGCAGAACCAGCCCCCAATATTTCAATGTAGGTTCTTTTCTATTTTCCCTAAGTGTTGGCCTGTCTGAGAAACAAAGAGAAAGAGTACGAAAGAGAAAAATTTTACAGCTGGGCCTCCGGGGGTGACATCACATGCCAGCAGGTTCCCTGATGCCCCCAAGCTGCAAAACCAGCAAGTTTTTATTAGGGATTTCAAAAGGGGAGGAGTGTACGAATAGGGAGTGGGTCACAGGGATGACACAGTTCAAATGGCAATAAAATATCACAAGGGCAGAAGGGCAGAGCAAGGTCACAAGGCCAGGGCAAAATTAGAATTACTAATGAGGTTCCATGTCCCCCTGTGCACACATTGTCATTGATAAACATCTTAACAGGAAACAGGGTTCAAGAGCAGACAACCGGTCTGACTAGAATTTGCCAGGCTGGAATTTCCTAATCCTAGCAAGCCTGAGGGCGCTGCAGGAAACCAGGGCGTATTTCATCCCTTATCTTCACAGTTTATGTTCAGAGACTGCAGTAAAGACAGGCATAAGAAATTATAAAAGTATTAATTTGGGGAACAAATAAATGTCCATGAAATCTTCACAATTTATGTTCTTCTGCCATGGCTTCAGCCAGTCCCTCCATTCGGGGTCCCTGACTTCCCACAACACTTCACTATTACAGTTAGGTGTCTGGGGCTCAGCCAGAATGGTGAAGCCAAGCAGGCAATCCTTCTCTGATAGGATGTTTCCTAACAAGGCTTATTTCTGCTTCCACGTGATACACATTAAAATGTTTAGTTAAATTTGAAGGCCTAAACATCACAGGCTAGGATCAGGAGATGGCTGGGCCATGACTACATATTATATACCTGGAGTTTAGGACAAAATTCAGCAGACATCCAACGTGGATGCAGATGTATTTGCTGTTAAACTCCAACATAATAATTTGAGAGTCTTAAAGAGAGTTCTTAAAACCACCAAAGGTGATTAGACCCAAACCTTATAACCAACTTGAAACACAAAAGCTGAAATATTGGGAATACTGAAATATCAGAAATGAAGAAACTAGCAAGTTCTAGTTATTCTTAGAGTTTGTTTAGATACATTCAACCAGAAACTCTTGTGTTTGTCTAAATTGGCCAATTCAGTCATGGTCATTAAAATTTATCATTCAAAAATTGAAAACAGAATTACCACATGATCTAGCAATCCCACTTCAGGGTACATAGCCAAAGGAACTGAAATCAGTATGTCAAAAAGCTATCTGCACTCTCATGTTCACTGCAGCATTATTCACAGTGGCTAAGATATAGAAGCAGCATACATGTCAATCAACAGATGAATGGATAAAGAAATGTGGTATATATACACAATGGAGTACTATTCAGCCTTTAACAAGAAGGAGATGTTGTCATTTACAGTAACATGAATAAAGCTGGAGGACATTATATCAAGTGAAATAAGCCAGTTACAGAAAGACAGATACTGCATGATCTTACTTGTATGTGGAATCTTAAAAGAGTCAAACCTATAGAGTAGAGAGCAGAATGGTGGTGACCATTCTACTGTCATTCCAGAGGATAGAATTAAGGGGGATGAGAATGGGGAGATGTTATTCAAAGGGTAGTTTCAGTAAGTTAGGAGGAATAAGTTTCAGAGAATAAGTTTCACCATGCTATTACACAGCATGGTGACTATAGTTAATAATAATGTATTATACATGTCAAGTTTTCTAAGAGTAGGTTATTAATATTCTTGCCATGAAAAAATAAGTATGCGAGGTGATGAGTATGTTAATTAGCTAATCATTCCATGATATAAACATATATTAAAACATTGTACCTCCTAAATATGTACAGTTATTTGTCAAGGGCAGATTGCCTGAGGTCAGGTGTTCATGACCAGCCTGGACAACACGGTGAAACCCCGTCTCTACTAAAATACAAAAAAATTTAGCCAGGTGTGGCGGCATGCTCCTGTAGTCCCAGCTACTCAGGAGGCTGGGGCAGGAGAATTGCTTGAACCTGGGAGGTGGAGGTTGCAGTGAGCCAAGATGGTGCCACTGCACTCCAGCCTAGGTGACAGAGCAAGACTCTGTCTCAAAATAAATAAATAAAATAAATAAATAAAAATTATAAAAAATAAAAAAATGAATTTTTAAAGATTTACAGTTCAGACCAAAATATTGATTTTCACTTGTAAAGTTTTCTTAGTACTCTTTTTCTCTTATTTTTAAAGTTTATTTTTGACCAGATAATGAATGAATATGGTTCAAAATTCAGAAAGTGAAAAAGGATGTATAAAAGTAAGTGAAATTTTTTCCTCCCACTCCCAACTCCCAGCCACCCACTTTTCCTCTCCTTAGGCAAAGTGTTATTAATTTTTGTGTGTATCTTCCAGAGATATTTGAGACATAAAAGCAATGTGGGTTGGGAAAAAGAACGTATACCTTTCCCCCATTTTTGTACCAATGATACCAGATGTCAAGGAAACGTATTTGAAGGAGAGCCCTCAACATTTCGAAAAGTTTGGCTGACAGGTTGGTAACACTTATTTATAGCAATCATAAGAACTTATTTAGCAGTTGTTTTTTATGTCTTCTTATAGCTGTGATTATATTGTTTGGGGTCAGAGACCCCTTTTGAATATATTATGAAAATAATGGATCCTCTCCATAGAAAGAGAAGCACATATGTACTTACATACAAAAAATTGCATAGAATGTCAGAAAGTTTCATTATCCACACAAAGCACTACCACCAACAACAAAGACAGCAAAGGAATCAAGGTTCAGAGAAACTAATTTGCCAAGATTCATAGAGTTACTGAACGGTGGAGCTGGAATTCAAATCAGTCTGCTCGATTCCAAGGCTCATGCTCTATCTCCACCCTTCTCTTCCCTTCCTCTCTTCTATGTATTGTTGCTACTGAGCCCTTCACTGATACAAGGGCAGGGTAGATGGTGTCAGTTCAGCAGCTCCTGTAGTCTTCAATTCCCAGCTATCTTGGTGAAATCTAACCTAGAGCTATGACTCCTTGTATGGTCTTGAGAACCTACTTCTCGAGATACAGCCTCTTACATAAAAAGTGATACAGGATTGAGAGCAAAGGACATTGAAAAATAAGACAGAGACACAGGGCCATTTGTGCAGTTGCTGATATCTTTAGTCCCAACTTCCTACATGTAGGAATTTTATGTTAAAAGTGACAGTGTCTTCCTGAAAAGACAACTGGTATCCTAAGTCTGATAGAAAATACAAGGGATAAATCAAAGATAAGATTCATAACTATGCTAGTATGAATGACTTTCTTTTCAAGAAACAATATAAAAATGATAAGTGGGGAAAAGGCATAACACGAATCAAAAGTCAAACTGTCTCTGCCCACTCTATCATCCAACTGCCTGTTTTAGAAACTTACAGGTTTCTTTTTCCTATAGAGGAATTCCGCCACACACTCCACAAATATAGGGCCTTGGACATCAAATTTGTTCTCTCTTTATAGATTTAGTCATAGTTGTATTTGTCACCTGAGCAGCCATAACCTGCTGAATCTCAATAGAAGGACAGAAAATGAGTCACAGCAAGCGAAAGGGTGCTATGAGAAGGGATATGTGGAGCAGCAGGGCAGGACCCTCTAGACAGCAGTGGTGGATTTACCCTTCTGTACATCTTTCCGGAATATGGCACAGAGAAACAGAAACAGAGATGCTGGTGCCAATGGGAAATTTTCCTGGCAATTGCATTTGTTAAAATCTTGGGTTCTGAAGTCAGAAAGATCTCTTTGAACCTTGGCTATGCCATTTTGAGTAAATTACTTACCTTCTCCGAACCTCTACTTAGAACTTCATCCATAAAACAGGGAAGATGACAACATATCTCATTGAGTTTCTGTGGGAATTAAGTAAGAATGGATTGACACAGTGTCTGACACATTGTAAATGCTCAATAAAAGGAAGCTATTAGTATGACTGGTCTGTAATTGTGGACATTTTTACCAATGGCTCATGGATGCTGTTCTGCTCATAATAAAAGCATTTTCCAGTGACATCCCAGGATGAGAAACATATTCTAAATTGGGATTTTTCTTAAGGCTTAAACTAACCAAGTCTTCTAGTTTGCCCAAAGATGTTGTTTTGTTTTGTTTTCCTTTCAAACCATGAATGAAAGTTTAATTTTATCAATTGTTTTTATAATGCCTATAGAGACAATCTGTTAATGTGTTGAATTACATTCATATTCAAATAATAAATAAACTTTGCATTCCTGGATTGAACCCAACTTTGATGTTACATTTATTTTATTTTAATTTTATTTTTCCATAGGTTATTGGGATACAGGTGGTATTTGGGTACATGAGTAAGTTCTTTAGTGGTGATTTGTGAGATCCTGGTGCACCCATCACTCGAGCAGTATACACTGCACCATATTTGTAGTCTTTTATCCCTCACCCCCTCCCACTCATCCCCAAAGTTCATTGTATCATTCTTATGCCTTTACGTCCTCATAGCTTAGCCCCCACCTAACAGTGAGAACATATGATGTTTGGTTTTCCATTCCTGAGTTACTTAACTTAGAATAATAGTCTCCAATCTCATCCAGGTTGCTGCAAATGCCGTTAATTCATGCCTTTTATAGCTGAGTAGTATTCCATCGTGTATATATATATATACACACAGTTTCTGTATCCACTCATTGATTGATGGGCATTTGGGTTGGTTCCAGGATTTTGCAACCACGAATTGTGTTTCTATAAACATTGCATGAATTTTAAATCAATGTCTGGATTCAGTTTTCTAATTTTTGTTTAGCATTTTTGCATTTATGTTCATGAGGAATACTGACCTGTACTCTTCTTTTCATGAATATTCTTGTTAGGTTATGGCATCAAGATTATCCTAGCCTTATAAAATGAGCTAGGATTATTTCTTTAATTCTATGAAAGAATTTATATAAGATTGTTTTTCTTTCTTTCCTGAATGTTTGGAAGGGTCCACTGGGGAAGTCATATGACCTGGGGTTTTCTATATGGAATGACTGCAATTTTCAGATTTAATTTTTTAAATAGCTATAGGGCTATCTAGAATTTGTTTCTTTTTGTGTCCATTTTGATAAGAATGTGTTTTTCAAGAAATTGTTCATTCATTTGAACTTTTGTTAAGTGACATAAATTCTTTAATAATACCAACTTTTTTTAAAACTTTAGTAGGATCTTCAGTGATATCCTGTTTTTCATGCCCAATGATGGTAATTTGCATGCTTACTCTGTCTCTCTCTCTCCACCCCCCAACCCGCTCTCCCATCTCCCTCTCCCTCTCTTTTGCTGCTTAATCTTGCTAGGGGTTATTGATTTTATTAGATTTTTCAAAGAGCTGACATTTAGATGTGTTGACTTCTGTTCTATGACTTTTCCATTTTTACTCTTATCTTTATTATTTCATTTATTCAACCTTCTTAATTTGTTGTTCCTTTTTAACTCTTTGAGATAAAAGTTTAGATAATGTGCTCTAAGTCCTTTTTTAATATATACATTTAAGGACAAAAATTTTCCTCTATGCACTGTTTTAGCATCATTCATATATTTTGTATGTCATATTTTCATTATCATTCAATTTATAATATTTTCAAGTTTCTATTGAAACTTCGACTCATGGAATATTTGGATGTATATTACTTGATTTCTAAATATTTGGAGATTTTCTAGTTATTTTTGTTATTGATTTGTAAAAATAAAAGATTCTTTGAGACTTACTTGAAAAACATATGTGTTCCGAAGTTGCTGGATACACTGTTCTATTATGTAAATTAGATTAATTTATCGATTAAGTTTTCTAAATTTTCTGTATCTCTACTGATGTTTGATTCTTCCATATGTTACTGGGAAAAGTTGTTAAAATCTTCCACTATATTTGTAAGATTGTTCACTTCCCTATTTAGGACTGTTAGATTTTGTTTCACATATTTTGAAGCTATGTTATTAGGTTCATACAAACTTGAACTATTGTATCTTTCTGGTAAATTAACCCTTTAAAATGTCATCTTTAATACGTCTTGCCTTAAAATCTATTTTGTCCAAGTCCTTACATTCAAGGTATGTCTCTTAGTAAGAAGCATACAATTGTGGGGTTTTTTTCTATTTCTTTTTGCTTTTTAATTGATGTATGTCAATTTATATTTAATGTAATTACTCACATTTGAATTTGTATCTATCATGTTACTATTTTCTAGTTCTTCCTCCTCTGTGTTCCTTTTTCTCTCTTCCTACTTTCTTTTGAATTACTCAAATATTTATTCTGTATTTCTCCTCTATTAGAACTTTTACTATGATGTTCCTACATGTGGTTGTCTTTGTATTTATACTACTGTGTTTTATGTCTTGAATCTATGGTTTGATGCCTTCTACCCATTTTGTACATTTTTCATCCTTTAATGCTTGAAATATTACTTCTAAATCATTCTCTGTTTTCTCCTTTAGGTATTTCAGTTACATGTGTGTTAGGTCTTGTCACCTAGTTCCATGTCTCCTGTGCTTTTTTCTGTATTTTCTATATTTTTTTCCTAACACTGTATGCTTCAGTCTGGATATTTTATATTCATCTATCTTCCAGATAAATAACCATTTCTTCAGATAGCTGTTACATATTCTTAATCTATTGTGTTTTTAATTTCAGGCCATTTGGGGAGTGTTTAAGAGGGGCATTTTTCCAGTTCTAGAATTTCTTGGAGTTTTTTTCAGGGCCTTTTCTCCTTGGAAAACCCTAAAATCCAATTCTTATCTCCCCACCATTGTGAGAAAGCTCTGTTTGGCAACTTTGCCCCTTAACTGCCTCTTTTTTAAGTCAGTGAATACCTCCAGGAGATAAGTGGTTTAGACTGTCTCATTTTTCTGCAGGCTTTTGGCCTCTCAGGTTTTTGCTGTGTCTATAGCTCTAAACTCCGATTTTTATCTCCCCTGCCATAAGAAACAGATAAAAGCTCTGCTCAAATTCTTTGCCTCCTAGAAGTCACTTTCTACTTGGTTTCTCAAGTTCTTTGTCCTTGCTACTTAAGAATCAAAGAGAAATACTTTGAAGGAGGCTAGGCATGGTGGCTCACACCTGTAATTCCAGCACTTTGGGAGGCCGAGGCGGGTGGATCACCTGACGTCAGGGATTTGAGACCAGCCTGGCCAACATGGTGAAACCCTGTCTTTACTAAAAATACAAAAAACTAGCTGGGTGTGATGGCATGCACCTGTAGTCCCAGCTACTCGTGAGGCTGAGGCAGGAGAATCACTTGACCCCAGGAGGTGGAGGTTGCAGTGAGCCAAGATCGTGCCATTACACTCTAGCCTAGGCAACAAGAACAAAGCTCCATCTCAGAAAGGAAAGAAAGAAAGAGAGAGAGAGAGAGAGAGAAAGAAAGAAAGAGAGAAAGAGAAAAGAGAAGAGAAGAGAAAAGAAAAGAAAAGAAAGAAAGAAAAGACAAGACAAGGAAGAGAAAAGCAGTTTCAAATATCAGGCTCACCTCAATGAGTGTTCCTTTATCTCCAGAATTTTCTCCAGTCCTGGCTATCTTCATACCTCTCCAAAGCCCCTTTCCCATCTACCTCCACCTCCCCTGCTACAGGATGACTGACTGTTCTTCCTGAAGCCCTGCCACACTCAGACCGCCTGATCAGAACCTCGGTGGACACCATCCATCAACAGTGGATATAAAGGAAGCTATGGCAGTAGCACTGGGATAGTGCCTGGCACATAATAGGTACTCAAGGACATAGGAACGAATGAATGAATGAATGAATGAACTAACCAACAAACAAATGAATGTGAGAAGAGGCTAAGAAGAAAGTGAATCTCAGGAGCTGGCTCTTTGGCTCCTATTCTGCCTCCTACCCCCAAACTCCTCTCTGCTAAAAACTCTTGAGGCCTCCAAGAGTTATATCCCTAAGATCTGGTTTCCTTACAAAGGTCATGGCCTCCTTGCCTCCTGGGTCTGGGGGAATTTCAGAACCCTAATTTCTAGGACAAACTCTCCAACTACTTCTGGGATGAGTTCCTGACTTGGCTTTGGTCCTGTCCAGGGCTTACTCTGCCTTCTCAATAGCAATTCCAGGCCAAGAATTCTGAAGGCATTTCTTAAAACAGAAGATGTTTCCTTGAGTTACACTCAGTTCTCTAGAAGTTTCACTATAGGGATTTCCCTACGTAGACCTGGAGACAGACATTCAACATACATTAGGGGTCTGGGATAAGAGAAGTTTAATAAATAATATTTGTTAATAAATCCCTCTGGATCTACTCAGAGAAAATCATGTGGTGGTGGCACACTAGAGATTTTAAGATGAATAAGATGTGAAGTTTACTTTCAAGAAATTACAGCTTTTAAACCGCATCAGAATTAGTGAGCATTCTTAGTTGCAAGTGACAAATGGATTTTGTTTTACTTCTACAACTGAATTATAAAAATACATGGCCTGGCCGGGTGCAATGGCTCATGCCTGTAATCCCAGCACTTCGGGAGGCCGAGGCAGGTGGATGACTTGAGGTCAGGACTTCGAGATCAACCTGGCCACATGGTGAAATCCCATCTCTACTAAAAATACAAAAATTGGCTGGGCAAGGTGGCTCACACCTGTAATCCCAGCACTTTGGGAGGCCGAGGCGGGCAGATCACCTGAGGTCGAGATTTCAAGACCAGCGTGGCCAACATGGAGAAAGCCCGTCTCTACTAAAAATACAAAATTAGCCGGGCATGGTGGTGCATGCCTGTAATCCCAGCTACTCGGGAAGACTGAGGCAGGAGAATTGCTTGAACCTGGGAGGCGGAGGTTGCAGTGAGCCAAGATTGTGCCATTGCACTCCAGCCTGGGCAACAAGAGTGAAACTCTAGCTCAAAAAACAAAAAACAAAAAATTATCCAGGTGTGGTGGTGCATGCCTGTAGTTCCAGCTACTCGGGAGGCTGAGACATGAGAATCACTTGAACCAGAGGGGTGGAGGAGGTTGCAGTGAGCTGAGACTGCACCACTGCACTCCAGCCTGGGCAACAGAGTGAGACTCTGTCTCAAAAAAAAAAAAAAAAAAAGGCCTGAAAGTCAACTAAAACCAGGACAAGAATGCAACCAGGACTCCCTCTTGACCCTTTATTTCAGCCTCTCTCTGTATGTCAGTTTTCTCTTAGTCTTCTAGAAGTCACCAGAAACGCGACTAGTAGCAGCAGCAGGCTCTTATCACCAGCTTTGTCACCAGACACAACTCAAGAAAAAATAATCCCAGAAAAGGATTTTCATTAACTCATCTTGGCTCAGGTGCCCATTCCCAGAAAATCCACTGTGGCCAATGGGATGGATAGTCTAATTGGCTCCACTTGGATCATATGTTCATCTCTGGCCAATCAGCAGTAACCAGAAGACTAAGAACTATAAGAATACATCAGATCTCAGTCAAATTATATGTCTAACATAACTCAGCAGACAGAACAATAAACATTCACTACTACTCCCATAAGACCAAGTTCTTTCTACATGGGAAACACCCTACAATAGAGGCATTTCCTGGAAGGGCTATTCATTTTTCAGTGAGCTGTAACAGTTTTCAAATGTCTGTAGATGCCTCTGATTGCAAAAAATAGTCAGATCTTTTCATTGTGAAGACCCCTTTGTCCTCTAAACTTGCTCACTATCTGGCTAGAGCCCTCCTACTCAAGGTTATACCACTGACTGGGTCAAATCTGTTTTCTGGCTTCAGGAATGAAACATAATGAGCCAATGTATTTATCTCTGATGGGCAAAGCTCCACCTTCAAGCCCTTAAGTGACCTTGTAGACTCTACTATAGTGACATCCTGTTGATGACAAGAAGTCAGGGGATCTGAGTTCTGGCCCCACATTTTGCCTTCCAAGGCCAGATGCTGTTGGCCAGGTCACCTCTCTTGAGACTCAGGGATTCAGTATCTACCCTCCTGTTCACAGAACACAGACAGGATCATGGGGATGAATGACCATGTACACTTGAGTTGTGAAATCCTCTGCAGACCCAAGAATGGCAGTTCATACAGGGCTACCCATAGTCTCATCTAGAGCATCTCAGGCCAACCCAGTTGCCCTCATGCTCAGGAGCTCCCTCCCTTTTTAGGCCCTGTCTGTTCTGCTCATGGCCAACTTAAATTCCTCTGGCTCTTGGGTTGGGGGTGGGGAGTAGATGACCACCCTTGCCCTTAATCTGGAGTGGGCTAAGCCTAGTCCCTCCCACTATTCATGTGATGTAGGAATTAGCCCTTGGCTAAGAACAGACTCCATGCCATTCCAGGACTCGCTGCCTTAGAATGAGCAAAGAGTGGGAGGGCAGGAAGAGAAAGGAAATGTTTACCATCTGTTCAATCTGGGGGCCACTGGGAGATCGAATTTTTGACACAAAATGTTACCATGTGATAACGACAATTTTTAATAGTAGACAAAACTCTAGACCAGGAGACAAGGGACCCAAGTTTTCCTTTTGACTTGGTCTCTAGCTACGTGTCCCTTGAAAATGTAAATTCACCTCTGTTTTCTTACCTACAAAATAGAGTGATTGGATCAGGTAAATTGTTCTCCTTCTGTCTCTAATATTTGATGATATGGAAGCCTGTGCACAGGAAGGAGTGCAGTGGCAGAGAAGAGGGATATAGACACTCTGTGTAGATCTGTGGTTCCTGACATTGGCCATGAACCCCTAGGAGAGAGGACACAGAATTTTTTCAAAGGGTTCTCAAACTTACACATGAGCCAAGAATTATCTGCAGACAGAATTAAAAAAAAAATTTCACACATATATGTACTACTTTCAAATCTACATGTGTGCTACTGGGATTAATTAAATGTGAATTCATTTTAAAAAGAAATTTTTTACATTATAAAATACTTTCAATCCACGGATGCCAAAAGAACTACCATCATTGGGGAATCTTTTTTGTTTGTTCATAATAAGGTTTTCTTATGAAATGGAGAACCAGTGATGATGAGGAAAACTTACAGTATGGAGAGATTGTCCCTGGGGAAGTTTCAATTTAACTACTGCCTATGAATTATGAGAAATTAAGGCTAATTTTAGACAAAATCCTGTTTTGCTTTTAAAACCTAACCTTAATGTCGCCTCCTCTATGAAGCCTCCCTGCTGGGTCACCATGCTGCCCATAGCCCCAACAGGATTAGACATCCTATTAGTCAGGGTCCTAGGAGGAAAAAAATGACACACTGAAATAAGGATAATTTGGCAAAGATTTGCTACAGGATTATTTACAGAGGTATAAGCAGTTTATAAGGAAAATACAAGGGCTAGTGCCATACCCAGCGTGCTACGAGGAGGGCTGTTTCCACCTGAGGCCTGACAGCAAAGGGAAGAGTGATTGTTGGAACTGGCAGGAAAGCGGTATGGAGACGGCCACCTTGTGTGGAGCTGTGGTTCTTGTTGGAGGGATGCGGCCAGCCCAAGGCCACACTGCAGGGGAAGCCAGGGGAATAAATACCCCACCTCACTCTCCTCCTCCACCTCCCATCACCTACTGCTGCCCCATGAACAAGTGCAGCCAGAGACTGGGAGACAAAGGAGTCCAATGACATAGCTCACGCAAGCCAGTGTTCTAGGGCAGAATGCTGGGTGAAGAAGGGTGAGAGCAGGCCTGGAGGAGCAAGCAGGAAACATCCTCACACAATCACCTTCTTTTCTGAGCTCCTGCAGGACTCTGTACTTATCTCTCTCTAGCTCTTTCCCTATTCAGTGTTAATAGCCTATTGATACTTCTGCCTCTCCACTACACGGTGAATTCCCTAAGGGCAGAAACTATTTATCATTTGGTTTTGCAGTCACAAAACTAAGCACAATGTAGATCCCTAAGAAATATTTGTTGGATTTTTATGTGAGGCAACAGTTTTGGAAAGAAGTGCCATATGGTCTGCATAGGTGGCACCCGCTGCTGCTGCTGGGTGTGCTGAGGACCTGCGGGTCCTGGAACACATCTCCTTTCCCACAGCACCACATGAGATGAATGGGAAAAATCGTACCTGTCGAGTGTTTCTGAAGCTGAGGCTGATGGAAGCCTATTGAAAGGGGAAAGGTTCCCTTGTCGCCCTCGCAGGGTGTGCGATTGTGGCTCACTTCTTCAGTGCCCCACTGCTCAAACCTCTAGGGGAGCATACAGACGGGCAGGCTGTGGGGCTCCAACCCCACGGCAGTGTTTAGGGGTGAATGTTTACAGATCCTGAGGCCCCAGTGGGCGTGGGTTACAAGGTGCTCCTTTAGTTTTGCTCTTTTAGTTTGCAGGGCGGCTTGTGTTAACCAGCTCAGTTAGAACCTCTACCTTGTCGCAAGGACAGAGGGCTTTCTGTATCCCGGATTCTTGCCTTGGTGTACCGGAAGAATCGGATCACACGTGGGCTTGGAGAATGAGTGTAAAGTTTTATTGAGTGGAAGTAGCTGTCAGCCGATGCGGGGAGCCAGAAGGGAGATGGTCTTCCCCTGGAGGTGGGCCTCTCTGTGGCCCCAGCTCTCCTCCGATCGCCCTGGCCAAACTCCGCCTCGTCCCCGCCGTTGGATGGCCTGCCGGGTGCCGGCGTCTGTCAGTGTGCTCTTCCCTTCAACGTCCTCTCGCTGTCCAGCCGCTTGTCTTCTTCGTCAACGTGTTCCTCTCACCGTCCAGCAGCTTCTGTGTCTCTGCCTTGCTAGAGTCTCGGGTTTTTATAGGCCCAGGGTGGAGGCATGGCGGGCCAGGGTGGTCTTGGAAAATGCAACATTTGTGGGTGAAAGCAGGATTGTCTGTCCTCACCTAGGTCTGTGGGGATGGACCCCTAGCCAGGGACCCGCCTTTCTCTACCCAGCACTTTCCTGCCCCACTCCCGTATCACTACGATCGTAACACAAGTAACTAAAACCTCAAAGCTCATGGAGTTAACCTAAATTTATTGGAGAATCAAAAGAGGGGTAAGTGGAAGCAGGGTGAGGGTTACCTATTGAATACGATGTATACTATTCGGGTGAGTGGTCCACTAAAAGCCCAGACTTCACCACTACAATTCATCCATGGAACCAAAAACCACTGTATCCCTAAATCTATTGAAATAAAAAAAAATCAAAAATTAACATACCCTTCCCATTTATCTGATTCTCTGAGGTCACCTTTAATTGTCTGAGCTATTTTTACAACTCTACGAGTTGTAGATAACTGATAGCAATAAAAATGATTCCTATCCATAGACACACAAAAAATAAGTAAATTTTCCAAAAGTTTCCATAGGTCACCTTTCTTGTTCTTACTTCAAAGTGTCACTTATTAAATTGCCTTCTCTTGTTCCCAGAGTCACATAACTTTGAACACAGAAATCATGTGTATTCTGATATGTTCAAAGAAAAAAAATTACATACTATTTACAATAGGATTTTTAAGTACCTAACAAAAAATGTGCTAGACTTTAATAGAGAACATTGTAAAAACTTTATTGAAATACATTAAGAATAACCAAATAGATGTAGAATGTTCATCCAAATGATGTGTAGATTTAATGCAATTCTGATCAAAAACCCACATATATGTTGTGAAACTTAATAAGCTGATGCTCAAATTAATACAGAAATACAAAGACTAGCCAAGACACTCTTAAGGAAGAATAAGATGAGAGGATTTCCTTGCCAGATATCAAGACCAAGAAAGGATAGACAAAGCCACCAATAGAATAAACAGAGAACTCAGAAACAGACCCACTATATATGGACATTTGACACATAACAAAAATAGCATTGTGGATCAACGGGGAAAGGATGAGCTCTTCAATAACCAGTGGTGGGATAATTGGATATACATGGGGGGGAAAATGCTACATTAATTCCTACCTCTTACCATACACAAAAACAAACTCCAGATATATGAAGTCCCTACCATCACATCATTTAAAAGAATCATTTAGAAGAAAATATAGGAGAATATCTCATGACCATGGGGTAGAAAAGGATTTCTTAAACAAGACATAAAAAGCACTAACTATAAAAGAAAGTACCGATAAATTTGCTGGTATTAAAATTGCCCAAAGAGACACCCTAAAATATAGTGAAAAGAAGAAGAGATATTTGTAACACACGTAAGGAACAAAAGGCATACCTAGAACCTATAAAGAATGGCCAATATGATTTTTGGCATTTTTTGTTTTTTGTTTTTTTTTTTTTAGACGGAGTCTCACTCTGTCACCCAGGCTGGAGTGCAGTGGGGCGATCTCGGCTCACTGCAAGCTCCACCCTCCGAGTTCACGCCATTCTCCTGCCTCAGCCTCCCAAGTAGCTGGGACTACAGGCGCCCGCCACCATGTCCGGCTAATTTTTTGTATTTTTAGTAGAAATGGGGTTTCACCATGTTAGCCAGGATGATCTCAATCTCCTGACCTCGTGATCTGCCCGCCTTGGCCTCCCAAAGTGCTTGGATTACAGGCATGAGCCTCAGTGCCTGGCCAAGAGCAGCTGATATGAAAAAGGCAAGCAACTAAATAGAAAAATTGGCAAAATACTTGAACTGGCAATTTAGAAAAGAGGATGTCCAAATGGTGGATAAATATAAAAAGGGGCTCATTGGTCATTAGGGAGCTGCATTAAAACTACAATGAGATACTATATAACTACAAGATAGACAAAAATTTATAAGTCTGATAAAACCAATTATCAGCAAAGACGAGGAACAGTGGAAACTTGTATACACTCCTAGTGGGAGTAGTAAAAGGAGACACATTTGGGAAACAATTTAGTAATGTCTAATAAAGTTGACTGTGCACATGTATATCCTGCAATCCAGCAATTCTACACCTAAGAATATACCCTAGGGAAACTCCTGCCCATGGTCCCCAGGAGATATGTACAAGAATATTCATAGTAACACTGTTTCTGACAACCCAAAACTGGAAACAGCCCACATGTCCATCAGCAGTAGAATGAATAAATAGTTGTGAAGCACTACTCATCAAATAAAATGAATGAGCCACAATTGCACAGAACATGGAGATGTCTCTCAAATATAATTTTAACAGAAGAAACAATCACCAAAATAAATATATAGTAGCTTTCTATTTTATATAAAGTCCAAAAAATAGACAAAACTAAATAATGTATTGTTTAGGGATGCCCACGTAGGTTGTGCTGTTACTTATTGCTGCCATAACAAACCATACAAAAACTTAGTGGCTTAAAACAACCATGATTCTATTTGCTCACAATTCTATGGGCCAGGGAGTTGCACAGAACACACCAAGAATCACTCATCTCTGCTCCATGATGTCTGGAGCTTCAGCTGGGTTGCCTCAAATATCAGGTCTGGTTGGAACAGCTTGACTGGGGCCATAAGTATGGGGCCTTGGTTCTGGCTCTCAGCTAGGTTCCTCAGATCTCATCCATGAGGGCTTTCCACCTGGCTAGCTTGAGCTTCCTCATAGCATGGTGGTCTCAGGGTTGCAAGAAGAAATATTCCCCAAAAACTTATCCCAATGTGCAAGCACTTATTAAATCTCTCTTCCATGCTTGTTAATGTCCCATTTGTCAAAGCAAGTCATATGGACAAACTCAGAAGTCACTGTGAGAGGAGACTACACTAGGGCAGAATGGAGGGAGCCATGGTTCATTTAGGGGGCCACCAAAGTAATGGTCCACCACAGCTGAAAGTAAGAAAATAATATTCTCAAAAATAGTGGTTACCCTTCAAGATGAAAAAGGGATGCAATCAGGTAGGAGCACAAAGGGAGCTTTCTAAAATATTGGCAATATTCTATTTCTAAACTGACTGGCCGTTAACATAGGGTACATTTTATTCTTCTTTAAAATGTCAATTCCACTTGACTCAATATTATGCAGGCATCACAGTTTTCATTTGTATACTTGCAAATAATTTACAGTTTAATGTTTTCATTACAAGATAAGAAACAGGGAAATATATATGTATATTACAAAGACCCCAACTATTTATTAGAACCATTGGAAAGAGAGCTAGAAGTAAATAAACCTCCACACCTCCATGAGTGGTTGTGTCAGAGCGGTAGTAGAACCATGATTGATTAATATAAATTTTCTTTTTATATTTTTCTATGCCTCCCAAATTTTCCATAATAAACACATATCACTTTTAGAATCACTAAAACTTTATGGGGGTAAAAACATGAATCACACCTCCCACAAAATGTTGTCTAGGTTATTTGAAGAAACATGGATTCCCATGAGGGATTCTAGTAACCTCTGCACTTCTCCTGACTGGCTTCACTTTAGCATTCCAGTACTTCTCATTGTGGCTACCAGAAGTTAATTTCTGGAGCACAAGGTATCCCAGGCTTTTCAGAATAGACTCTGATAAAAATTAAATCAAAACCACTTGAATTCGTTCTTGGACATGAATAGTATTGCCAAGCCCTCGATTCAGTGCTAAAATGGGAACTGTCAGTCAGAAACAAAAGGGGCAAAAGGTGACAAAGAGTGATGAATTGAGGTGTCTTGCAGCCTCTCTATTTTGAATCACAAGATACTGAGAATTTGGCAGAATGGACTTTTTCTGCAGGTGATCTACAAATGTTCCGTCTTCTCTGATTTAAAATCATAATTGGAGGAAGTTAACTCCAAGACCTGCAGGAAGTTATGGAGGAGGAGGGGAAAGCAACCAACACCTAATAAATTAAGAACTTGGACTCTGCTGTCCAACTTACTCACTGTAAGACCTTGTACAAGTTCCTCCACCTCTCCAGGCCTCAGTTTCCTCATTCCTAAACTGGGGACTTAATAGTGCTACCTTTAGGGTTGCTGTGAGGAGGGAATGAAATAGTAAATGTAAAGTGCTTAGCACAGAGTCCAGAATATCAAAAGCACTCAATAAACTATAGCATCTCCCATTGCCAGGACAGGTGAGGCACCCACACAGGTCACAGCAGATGCCTAGGTATGGGCCAGCACTCTGCTGAGAGCTTCACATATAGTCAGCATTTTATATCGCATCTGACCCTCATGGTACCTAGGGATTAGATATTATTTTCCCCATCTTACCGATGAAAAAACAAACAGAAGATCTGAGCATCTATAACCCGCCCAAGGCCGCAGATCTCCTGCATAGCAGGGCAGTAGTTGAAGCTAAAGCTGTTTCCAAGGCTTCTCAGAATCTAGTGGACAGGAGAGGAGGGCTATACTCTGAGAAAACACTCCCACTTCTTTTTGTTCACAGTAACCACCACTGAAAGTAAAACTCTGAAATGTTTTGGGCTGATGTGAATACATGTAAGTAACAAGCACCGTGGAATCAAAAGACTGAAAAACACTACCAATGTCTGCAAATTACAATTACCAAGGTGGCCGGGCCTAAAGACTGAACTTCAGCGTGGAGGGGTCTTTAAAAACTCAAGGATCTGTTCCCAGACCTACTTACATTGAGAAAAACGCTTCCTGGGTCATCTCAGAATCTTGTAAATGTTTACATTGACTTTGGACCTGATATTCCTTTTCATATGATGCGATGGAGTGAGGAAAAGACCACAGAGGGCAGACAGAGGCAAAATTGCTCCCCTTCACCAAGGCTTATGGGGAAAAAGAAATGAACTTGCCTTTCCCGAGGAGTCCCCCCTCCTCGCAGGCTAGGAGCTATTCCATTCTTAGGCAGGATTTTATGAGAAACAAGTCTTCCTGGGACAAGGCTGGCTACAGAGAAATAAAACAATGTGCACAGACCTACCTTTTTCTTTCTTTTCCTTGTCTGCGTTCAGTATGACTTCACTGGCAATACTGAACTGGAGAATAAGAAGGTATACCGCTTTGCAAAGTTTGAAATTTTTGTTAAGACGGCAAGCTGGCTCAGGTCCTTTTTCCTGGTCTTCTCTAGCGCCGCGGTGTGCTCCTGGGAGCTGAAGCCAGAGACGGTTAAACTGCCTCACTCTCTAGGGTCTAAATGACTTTTCCTACCCTCTGCCATCAATCAACCCCCTGAGACCAGAAATTGGAGAAGGGCATTTCCCCTAAGACTCACAGAAACCCCGCCTTTAAAAAAATTCTCCACAACCAGAGTATGGCCCCTTCAAAAAACATCCATGTTATATCTTTAAGGCATTTCATCTCCCTCAATTCCTTCACTCAGCCTTAAGCACACCTTCAAATCCTTATGCAAAGGACTCAGGGAATTCAGGTGAGTTCCCCTGAGCCATGATTTTCTCCAAGGAGCTGATGTTGCACATTAGAACTAATAGGCTTCAAGTAACTGCAGCAAGACTAATATCTTCTGCTAATAATGCTGTGAGTGACTTGAGTTTCCAATGAGCTATTATTTGTAGAAAGACATTGACTTTACTCTTGGACTCTTGAAAGTACTTGACTGATCTGAGTTAATTAAGCCACATAAGCCTCCTGAAAGGCAGAGAGAAGACCCAGGAAGAAAAAGAGGAGGGAGAAGAACAGGAAAGTGTTGACTAACACTGAGATGCACCTGCCTGCTGGTCCAGTAATATTATAGCAAGTGGACCTCACTACTGCAGCCAGTGAAACCCCAGGGAAATTTACAGATCCTTTGTAACAACAGAAAGTGTCATTGACAGTGATTAAAATATTAGAATCATAAAATACTCAGAGCTCAAAGGGTCCTTAGAGATCATCTGGGACAACGCCTCATTTGAAGACTGAAAAAAGATGGCCGTTTCACTAAGTGAGAAGGGAAGACAGGCCTGCTGACCCTCACAACTCTTTCTAGGCTGCTGGCAATGAGCTAGCTGGGACCTTGGACTGATACTCCTTGCAGTAGAAGTGGCTGTGCTCAAACCAACTTCCCCCAGGACCAGGGGAGCCGAAGACTCCAGGGGCTTCAGGAAGCTCCCTAAAGAGCTGCACCTAAACGTAGACCTGGCTTAGCAACTGAATGCAAAATATTTGTTACTCAATAACAAGGCTGGTCCATTAAAAAGGACAGCAACAGAGGGTGAGGTTCTCTTGCTAGAACTCAGTCCTCAAATGCGTCCAGCTGCACCTTGACCCAAGCATGCTTCCCCCATAGGGTGCTGGAGATGATGGGGTGCCTCTTCTCACCCTTCTCCCAGTGAGCTCCAGCCCCTGCCACAATGTTTGCTGGTGTTCACCTATAGCCTTTGCATGACACCCAGTGACACATTAGCCCTTCCAGTCCTTTCCTGTGGTTGTTTTTCACTGAATACATTATGACTATCTTTCTACATAAGTAACCATTACATAGGAAAACATTGTCTTTTAAGAAATGACTGCATAGACATACTAGAAGGTAATAAACCAATCCCTACTGACTAGTTGTTTCCAACTTAGGTCCTTTCAATTTTTCACAATTAAAAACAATACAGTTGGCAGTAAATAATGTACAAACATCTTTGCATGTTTTCTAATCATTTCTTTCATATAAGTTTTTAGAAGTGGAATTGCTAATTCAAAGAATATGGACTTTTAAAAGGGTTTTGATATGATCTGCCAAGTTTTTTTGTTTTTGTTTTTGTTGTTTGTTGTTGTTGTTTTGTTTGTTCTGTTTTGTTTTTCAGAAAAATGGTATTAGGGTAGGTTCCCACCAAGACTTTTGAGATAGATCATTAATGACTTCAAATAGTTTCCTTGTGTTTCATTCACTTTCATTCTAATAGAAAATAACAGCCTAGTCAAATGCCAAATGGTACATTTCCCAGAGGTATGAATAAGTTGGATAACTTTCCTCACATTGTGACAGTTTTGGAGAAATGAACCCAGGTCACGACTGTCTTCATATCTCACTGCAGTGAGATAAAGGAGCTTTTTCTTTATGACTCATCTTAATTTTGATGAAGCTAGCTTTGGATAGTGATAGCTCCTGCATGGTGGAATTATGGATAATGGTTATTCTTTATTTTGCTTATCTGTATTTTCAAATATTTTTTGCAATGTCCTACTAACACTACTGCAGAGTTTCTCAACCTCAGCACTACTGACATTTTGATCTAGATAATTATTTGCTGTGGAGCTGTCCTCTGAAGCATAGGATATTTAGCAGCTTCCCTGGTGATATGGTTTGGATCTGTGTCCCCACCTAAATCTCATGTTGAATTGTAATTCCTAATATTGGGGAAGGGACCTTGTGGAAAGTGATTGGATCATGGGGGCAGATTTCCCCTATGCTGTTCTCATGACAGTGAGTGAGTTCTTACCAGGTCTGATGGTTTAAAAGTGGCACTTCCCCCACCTCTCTCTCTCTCTCTCCTGCCGCCATGTGAAGAAGGTGCTTGCTTTCCCTTCACCTTCCTCCATGATTGTAAGTTTCCTGAGGCCTCCCAAGAAGCAGAAGCCTGTACAGCCCACAGAACCATGGGCCAATTAAACCTCTTTTCTTTATAAATTACCCAGTCTTGGGTAGTTCTTTATAGCAATGTGAGAACAGACTAATACACCTGGCCTCTGCCCACTAGATGCCAGCAGCACTCCTAGTTGCAACAACCAAAACATCTCTAAATATTTCCAAATGTCTCCTACAGAGTCATAATTACTCCCAGTTGAATGCCATTGAACTAGTGTAATAGACAATACTAAGTAATACAATAATAAGATATTATATAACATTATATGATAGTATGTAGTAATAATAAACACTTACAGTGCTGTGTGCCAGACACTATTCCCAGTGCTTCAGGGATATCATCTTGTTGATTCTCTTCAACAATCCTTTGAGGTAAGTACTATTATTCTATCCATTTTACCTAAACGGAAACTGAGAACACAGAGGTTGAGTAACTTGCCCAAGGTCACACAGCTAGATAGTACAGGATCCCAGATTGAAACCCAAGAAACTTCAGAGCCCACGCTCACAATCATTTCCTGCAGTTGTCTCAGAAGTCTTTTTAAATATTCTTTTTAGTCATTTAAATTTTCCAACAAATCTCACAATATTTTAAAAGACACACAATAATACAATGAACATCTATATACTCATCACTTAAATTTACTATTAGGTTGGTGCAAAAGTAATTGCGGTTTTTGCCATTGAAAGTAACGGCAAAAATCGCAATTACTTTTGCACCAACCTAATAACTCTCAAGCTTTTTCCATACTTGATTCATTTGTCCCTCTTTATTTCCTCCGCTTTCTTTCTTTTCTTCTTTACATCTTTCCTTCTCTTTCTGTCTTCTTAGAAGTGGAATCTTTCTTCCTTTCTCCCTCTCTCCCTTTCTCCTTCCCTCCTTTCTTCCTTTCTGTTGTATTGTCCCTTACATAGGTCACTGTGAAGTTCTAAAAAATATTGATGTTTTCTGACATAGCCATCATGCCTATAACACTAACAAAATTAACGATTCTTTAGTATCAATTCATGTTCAAATTTCCTTGATTATCTCAAAATTTTATTTTAAACCTCTAAAAAGTCCAGCTTTGGACTAAGAAGAATGAAGTGGTGATTCCCAGCAAATTGTGAATCCTAAGGGAAGAAGGATGGAGTCATAGTACATTTCAGAAGAGCTCTATGTGGTCTGGGCTGCAAATGAAAAGAGAACACAGAGTCCCCAACGACCATAAGAACCTTTAAGGTAGGCAGGATTTGGGTTCCCCAGAAGCAAGACCCTGAGGCAGGGAGTTAAGTGCAGGTCGTTTATTTGGGAGGTGATCCTAGAAAGCACAGGCAGGGTGTGGGGAAGTAAGATAGAGACGGGAAGGAAAGCAATTCGGGGTAGGAAATCAGCCAGCTACCCCTGGGAAACTGGAGCACAAATTCCCCTGGAGACTCCAAGAAACAGTAGATTGGCCTTATTTATCCCAACTGTGGGCTGAAGAAGTCGGGGTTTTATCCACTGACTCCCCATCCATCCTTGGTCGAGGACAGCTCCAGAGCCATTCACTCTGGCACGTCCAGCTTTCCTTGCCCCCAAGGCCAGTGTTCTCCCTCAGCCAGAAGAAAAGCTCAGGGTGACAGGAGTTTTCAGGAAGCAGCCTAAGTGAAGAGGCAAATTCCAAGGGGTTAGCCCGGGCACCTGCAGTGTCTGCTAGGATCCCCGTTTACCAGTGAGGCTCATTTATTCTTTCACCAAACATGTATTGAATGCTTGCTTAGTCTTGGCCAGACAGTGTGTCAGGTGCTGGAGCTCACACACAGAATAGGCCTCCCTGCACTTGAGAAGAGCACAGTCTGTACACATGTGTAGAGAGATTAAATTGTCATACACTATGGTAAGTGCTATGCCAGAACTATAAGTTTTTGTGCCCACCAAAGGTGAGCAATTAAAATGAGTTTTTTTAAATAAAGCATTATAAAATATTATAAAATATAGAAGACCTCTGTCTAGAAGAGTCAGACAAATGTCCCCTCCATCATGATAGCCAGACACCCAAATAAGGCACTTAAATAAAACAAGGTAAAATACTAAGTGACAGGGTCAGCTCACCTAGCGGGTGAAAAGCAGAGCCAGGACAAGAAGCCACATTTTCTGACTCCTAAGCCAGTATTCCTTCCACTCTACCCACAGTCTCTAGGAGTTGAGATCTGGCACCAATCACAATGCCCAGCTCACAGTAGGTACTCAGTATCTTCATGACATGGACACAGAGCATTTGCTTGACCATGAGAAGGGAAAGTATAATGACCTAGTGCCCACTTACAGTCACTCTCCATTCCCACCCCCAGGGCTAGGCAACTACTAATCTATTTCTATCTCTATGGATTTGCCTTTTCGGAAAAGTTTGTACAAATGGAATTATATACCATGCGTTGCTTTGTGTCTGACATCTTTCACTAATCATAATGTTTTTGAGGTTCCTCCATGTTGCACATGTACTAATACTTTGTTAATTTTTATTGCCAAATAGTATTTCACTGCATGGTTATAACATATTTTGTTTATTCATTTATCAGTTGATAGACATTTGGATTGTCTCAACTTTTTGGCTATTGTGAGTAATACTATTATGAACATGTGTGTTCAAGTTCTTATGTGCATATATGTTTTCACTTCTCATGGGTAGATACTTAGGAGCAGAATTTCTGGGTCATATAGTAACTCTATTTTGTAAGAAGCTACAAAACTGTTTACCAAAATGGATGCCTCTCCTTATTTTATACTCTATTTTTATTTTGAATTATTTTAAAGTAAATTATAGTCCTCAAGATATACCATGTAGCCAAAAAGCATTATCCCACTTAACAAATTGTCAATAATGCTTATTATCACAAATTCAGATTTCCACTACGGTTTCCTGAAGATATGAACATTTGAGTCACTGGAAAGTAACACATCTCTCTGAAGATCAGTGAAGTGGCTTTCTGGTTTATATATCAGCCTCCTGTGAGTTTCGTTAGTCTGACCAAGTGAATGAACGATTTGACTGGCTGTTGGCTTGAGTCTTGGGCAGCCTGGATTTAAAAGATGAGCTGGAAATTTGGAGTGGGGACACTGGGAGGGCAAGTGCGTCAGCTGTGGGAGCCAAGCTGGATAGTGAGGTAAACTAAGGGAGTGAGGCCACCATATCAGGCCAAGGGTAAGAATAAGAAGTGGACGCCAGGGGAGATGACAGGAACAAAGCAAATGTGCTGAGAGGTTGAGATGAGAGAACACACAGACACTGGGAGAAAGGAAGTAACTCAATCACAGTGTCCAAGAAAGAAAGGGCTTTGTCCCTATTCCTGGTTCCCACAATGAGGGATTTTTCCTAATGCAATCTTGGCTTCTCCGTACTCTGAGGTGAGTTACTTATCTAGCTGGTAAATTTGGGAGAATAACTGGGTGTGCCTGGCTTGTTCTTCCTCCTGGAAGTGAAAGAAACAGGAAGTAGCCTGTCCCTTCACATGGAAGGCATCTTCTCCTCCTCCAGGCAGGGTCTGCCCAGGTCCAGTTTTCTCAGAATGGGGTAAAGTCAACTGAATTCTGAGGTTGGAGTTGATAAAGATGCTTAGCTAATAGACTGAAAGGCACATCCTCCAGCCCCGTCTCCATCAGTAATAGAGGCGTGTTTTGGCCTCCTTTGTTCTGTTCCTCAATTTCTTCAGCACCACATGGTGAAGAGAGGTGCCATTAGTGACTGCCCTTCAAAGATGCCAATATCCAGACACCCAAGGCCAGCAATACTTCCTGCCCTTACAATTGGTGAGATTTTCCAGTATCCTTTCAATAGTGTCCCTGGTTTAGAGTTACCTCAAATGGCTTTTTCTTCCTTGAAATAAAAGAATCTTGGGTAGAATAAGACATTTCTCTGAAAGTTAGGCTCAAAAGATAAAATGGCAATTGGTTTAAGTTTTTATTACTAATTTGGGAGACATGATGCAGGTAGGCAGAGAAGCACTTGTCTACATACATTTTTACATTAATTTTTTTGGATTAGAAATTTTATATTGTCAAATATGTTTAATAGATAGCAGTAATGTTAATGTGTTAATAGCAAAAAGCACCATTTCGAATGTTATCCTTCAAATATTTCTGAGCACAAAATGATTGATATTAATGAGTTAAAATAATTTCAATGGCTATGATAGAGTATAAATTTTAAAAAGCTGTTTTTTATTTTAATTTTAGATTTTTAAGCATGCCTTTTAAATTCCAGTTTTTTTCAGATTTGCTTTTGTTATTACTTTATTTACTTTAAATTTTTTATTTTTAACTATTATGGGTATGTAATAGTTGTATATATTTATAGAGTACATGTGATATTTTGATACAGGTATACAGTGTGTAATATTCAAATCAGCGTAATTGGGATGTCCATCACCTCAAGCATTTATCATGTCTTTGTGTTAGGAATAGTCTAATTCCACTCTTTTTGCTATTTTAAAATATACAATAAATTATTGTTAATTTTTACATTAACATTTATTGAAGCATCATATACATAAAGGAGCCAAACCATTGATGTACATCTGAATACATTTTCACAAATAGAACTCACTCATTTAACCAGCACCCAGATCAGAAAGGAGATAATTTTAGACCACAGAAACCCTCCTTGTTCCCCTTATGCCAAAACTCTTCAGTCACACATATTTGTGTGACTCCAATAAATTATAGACCTCAAGATATACCATGTAGCCAAAAAGCATTTTCCATGCTCGCCAAAAAGGAGGAGGAGCCGAACGTGCCTTCCATGTGAAGGGAGGGGCTACTTTCTGTTTCTTATAGACAGCTCACTTCCAGGAGGAAGAAACAAGGTCTGGGTTTTATCCAACATCTGGATACTCTTTTATTGTGTATGGTTTTTTTTTAACACTCAGAGGGTAACCTTATTTCCAAAGCTTTGGGAATACCATCACCATCGGGCCCAGGTAGCACTTACAGTAGATCAAGGTGCAACACTGTCAGATAATTTTGGCAAATCTAGGTAGATTATATGAATTTCTTCATCAGTTATGTTTTATCCACTTTCTGTCTTTTAGAGATCTCTCAATATTTTTGCTCTACTGATGACTTTCTATTTTCCAGGGCTGTGGTGGAATTAATCTTAAAATGCACACTCACCAGATCTCTAATCCCATTTCTCAATTTTGGGAGACTGAGAAAAGGGAGGCATATGAGTTTGGGCTGCCATATTGATCCAAGCTGCAAGTTCATTTTTCATGACTATGATATCTCAGTGTATTGATGTAATATGATTCATATAGCCAATTCATATTTTTCCATACTAAAATTAATGTTGCAATTAATATCCTTATATACGAATATTAGCATATGACTCTGATCGTTTCTGAAGAAACCTTTTTAATGCCTATTGAGTAAAATAGGAAAATAAGTTGGTAGTTTCTGTGTTAATAGATATATTATCAAAATATATACGATAGCAAATATATTATCTAAAGGCCAAATATGCTACAGTACTAATATGTTTAGTACACGAGAATTTTAATCAGGTTATGGCAAGATGTCAGTCAAAGGACACAAAATTTCTGTTGAGAAGAATAAGGTCAAGAGATCTTTAGTACATCACAGTGACTACAGTTAATAATAAATATGATGCCTGAAAAGATACAACATATTGATAAGGGAATAGATATTAAGTGTCCTCACCCCCAAAAAATGTTAAGTATGGGAGGTAACACATACACAAAATACTTGATTTTTCCATTTCATAATATCAAAACATCATGTTGTATACCATAAATATACATAATTTTTGTCAATTAAAAAATAATTTTTTGAAAAAAAAACAAATCAATCTTTTGGGGGATCAAACCACATCAGAACTCTCTATTTCCAACTCTTTGTGATTCCTTACAGTCTATTTCCTTGCCCTTTCTTTATTCCTGTCCCAAACATACAGAATCAAAAGAGAGACAACATGGGGAAAGATCTAAACTGTTGAATATGCTCAGTTCTCGAGAGCAAATGGATGTTTGGCTGGAACCACTCAGATACCTAAAAGGCTTTTATATTCAGAACCCTAAATTTAAAACCCTTAACTTGCACCATCTTTCATTTTTAACTTAAGATTTGTGAAAATTAGCCAGGCATGGTGGTGTGCACCTGTAGTTCTAGCTACTCAGGCGGCTGAGGTGGAATGATTGCTTGAGCCTGGGAGATTGAGGCTGCAGTGAGCCCACCACTCCATTCCAGCCCAGGCAACAGTATAAGACACTGTCTCAAACAAATAAACAAGAAGAGAGACAGAGAGAGAGAGAGAGAGAGAGAGAGAAGAAGGAGGAGGAGGAGGAAGAGGAGGAGGAGGAGGAGAGAAAAGAAAAGAAAGAAAGAGAGAGAGAGAAGAAAAGAAAAGAAAGAAAAGAAAAAAAGAAAAGAAAGAGGCCATGCACAGTGGCTCACACCTGTAATCCCAGCACTTTGGGAGGCCAAGGCAGGCAGATCACGAGGTCAGGAGATCGAGACCATCCTGGCTAACACAGTGAAACCCCGCCTCTACTAAAAATACAAAAAATTAGCCAGGCGTGGTGGCGGGCGCCTGTGGTCCCAGCTACTCGGGAGGCTGAGGCAGGAGAATGGCATGAACCCAGGAGGCGGAGCATGCAGTGAGCCAATATCATGCAACTGCACTCCAGCCTGGGCAACAGAGTGAGACTCTGCCTAAGAAAGAAAGAAAGAGAGAAAGAAAGAAAAGGAAAGAAAGAGAGAGAAAGAAAGAAGAGAAAGAAAGAAGAAAGAAAGAAAGAAGAAAGAGAAAGTAAGAAAGAAAGAAAGAAAGAAAGAAAGAAAGAAAGAAAGAAAGAAAGAAAAGAAAGAAAGAGAAAGAAAGGAAGGAAGGAAGAAAATAAAAGAAAAGGAATCTGAACAGACAAATAATAAAAGTAAGTGGAATGACTAAGTAATCAAAAACCTCCATGAAAGAAAAGCCCAGGACCTGATGACTTCACTGGTGCATTCTACCAAACACTTAAAGACAAATTAATGCCAATCAAATTAGTACATTGAAGAGATATCTGCAACCCCATGTTCTTTACAGCTCTATTCACAATAGCCAAGATTTGGAATGAAGTTGAGTCTGTTGATAGATGAATGGATAAAGAAAATGTGGTAAATATACACAATGGAACATTATTTGGCCATATTAAAGAATAAAACCCTGTCATTTGCAGCAACATGGATGAAACTGCAGGTCATTATGTAAGTGAAATAAGCTAGGCACAGACAGACAAATAACACATGTTCTTACTCATATGTAGGAGCTTAAAAAGTGGATTACATGGAGGTGGAGAGTATAATGGTGGTTTACTAGAGGCAAGGAAGGGAAATGGGAGGGAAGGGATAAAGAGAAGTTGGTTAATTGGGTACAAAATCACAGGAAAAAATAAGTTTTAGTGTTTGATGGTACAGTAGGGAAATTGTAGTTAAAAATTATTTATTATATATTTCAAAATAGCTGGAAGAAAAGAAATTGCAATAGTCCTAACACAAAGAAAAAATGAGATGATGGATATTCCAATTTACTCTGATTTGATCATTACACATTGTGTACAGGTATCAAAATATCACATGTACCTCAAAAGTATGTACAACTATAATACATCAATTAGAATACAAAAAGTACTGATAAAAAGAATGCCCATCCTTCTGAAACACTTCCAAAAAAGTGAAGAGGAGGGAATACTTCCAAATTCCTTTTATAAGGCCACCGTTATCCTGTAGTTTGTCTGTTTACTATGTTAATAGTTTATTTTGCTCTGCAGAAACTCTTCAGTTTAATTAGGTCCCATTTGTCGGTTATTGGTTTCGTTGCAATTGCTTTTGGCATCTTCATCATGAAATCTTTGCCCGTTCCTATGTCCAGAATGGCATTTCCTAAGTTATCTTTCAGGGTTTTTATAGTTTTCAGGTTTACTTTTAAGTCTTTAATCCACCTTGAGCTGATTTTTGTATATGGTGTAAGGAAGGGGTCCAGCTTCAATCTTCTGCATATGGCTAACCAGTTATTGAATATGGAATCCTTTCTCCATTGCTTGTTTCTGTGAAGTTTCAAAGATCAGATAGTTGTAGGTGTATGGCATCATTTCTGGGCTATTTTGTCCCATTGGTCTATGTGTCTGTTTTTGTACCAATGCTGTGCTGTTTTGGTTACTGTAGCCTTGAATATAGTTTGAAGTCAAGTAATGTGATGCCTCCAGGTCTGTTTTTTTTGTTTTTTTTGTTTTTTTTTTGTTTTAGCTTAAAATTGCCTTGGCTATTTAAGCTCTTTGGTAGTTTCAAATGAATTTTAAAATCATTGTTTCTACTTCTGTGAAGAATTTCATTGGCAGTTTCAAAGGAATAGTGTTGAATCTGTACACTGCTTTAGGCAGTATGGCCATGTTAATGATGTTGATTCTTCTTATCCATGAGCATGGAATGTTTTTTAATTTGTTTGTGTCATCCCTGATTTCTCTGAGCAGTGTTTTATAATGCTTGCTGTAGAAATCTTTCACGGTCCTTGTTAGCTGTGTTTCTAGGCATTTTATTATTTTTATGTCAGTTGTGAATGGAATTTCATTCCTGATTTGGCTTTCAGCTTGGATGTTGTTTTGGTGTATAGGAATGCTACTGATTTTTATACATTCATTTTTGTATCTGAAACTTTGCTGAAGTTGTTTATCAGATCAAGGAGCTTTTGACCAGAGACTATGGAGTTTTCTACATATAGAATCATGTCTCTGCAAATGGATAGTTTAACTTTTTTTATTTTGATGCTTTTTATTTCTTTATCTTACCTGATTGCTCTGGCCAGGACTTCCAGTACTATGTTAAATAACTGTGGTGAGAGAGGGCATCCTTGCCTTTTTCTGATTTTTAAGGGGAATGCTTCCAGCTTTTGCCCATTCAGTATGATGTTGGCTATGGATTTGTCATAGATGGCTCTTGTTTCTGAAGTTTGTTCGTTCAGTGCCTAGTTTATTGAGGGTTTTTAACATGAAGAGATGTGGAATTTTATCAAAAGTCTTTCCGGCATCTATTGAGATAATCATGCGGTTTTTGTTTTTAGTTCTGTTTATGTGATGAATCACATTTATTGATTTGTGTGTGTTCAACCAACTTTGTATCCCAGGGATAAAACTTACTCGATTGTAGGGGGTTGGCTTTTTGATATGCTGCTAGATTTGGTTCGCTAGTATTTTGTTGAGGATTTTTGCATCTATGTTCATCAAGGATATCGGCCTGAAGTTTTCTTTTTCTGTTGGGTCTCTGCCAGGCTTTGTTATCAGAATGATGCTGGCCTCATAGAATGGGTTGAGTAGGAGCCCCTCCTCCTCAACTTTTTGGAATCCTTCAGCAGGAATGGCTAATTTTTTTGTGTGTGGAAAACAGTGTGTTGCTATATTAACCAGGCTGGTCTCAAACTCTTGGACTCAAGCAATCCTCCTGCCTTGGCCTCTCAAAGTGCTGGGATTGCAAGCACGAGCCTGTCCGGTAGGTTGTATGTTTCTAGAGATTTATTCATTTCTTTCAGGTCATCCAATTTGTTGGCATACAACTGTTCATGGTAGGCTCTTATGACCCTTTGTATTTCTGTGGGCATCAGTTTTAATATTCCTCTTTCATTGATAATTTTATTTATCTGATTCTTCTCTTCTTACTTAGTAGTCTACCTAAAGGTTTGTCAATTTTGTTTATCTTTTCAAAAAAACCCAACTCTTAGTTTTGTTCATCTTTTGTGTTGTTTTTCTAGTCTCTAATTTATTTCTTTTCTTTACTATTTCTTTCCTTTTGCTAACTTTAGACTTAATTTGTTAATTTTCTTTGACATGTAAAGTTTGGTTGTTTATTTGAGATCTTTATTTTTTCTTAATGTAGGCACTTATCTATAAAATTCACTTTCAGCACTGCTTTTGCTGCATGCCATAAATTTTGGCATGTGTGTTATTTTTGTCTCAAGATACTTTTTGACTTCCCTTTATTTTTGTTTGTTTTTGTTTTGTTTTGTTTTTGAGACAAGGTCTCACTCTGTTGCCCAGGCTGGAGTACAGTGGTGCAATCTTGGCTCACCGTAACTTCCCAGGCTCAAGCAATCTTCCCCAGCTCAAGCAATCCTCTCGCCTCAGCCTCCCAAAGTAGGTGAGACTACAGGCACGTGCTACCTGTAGAGACAGGGTTTTACCATGTTGCCCAGGCTGGTCTCAAATTCCTAAGCCCAAGCCATCCGCCCACCTTGGCCTCCCAAAGTGCTAGGAATTACAGGTGTGAGCCACCACACCCGGTCCTAACTTCTCTCTTGATTTCTTCTTTGATCCATTCTATTCAAGAGCACATGGTTTAATTTCCATGTATTTATGGATTTTCTAACTTTCCTTCTGTTACTGATATCTAGTTTCACATCACTGTGGCTCGAAAAGATATCTCATATGATTTCAGTCTTCTTAAGTTTGTTAAGATTTGTTTTGTGGCTTGGTATGATATATCCTGGAGAATGTTCCACATGTACTTGAGATGAATGTGTGTTTTGCTGCTGTTGGATGGAAAGATCTATATATGTCTGTTAGGTCTATTTGGTCTATAATGTTGTTCAAGTCTGCTGATTCTTTTTTGATTTTTTTTGTCTGGATAATATATCCATTGTTGAAAATGGGGTATTAAAGACTCTTACTATTATTGTATTGCTATGTATTTCTCCTTTCACTTGTGTTAATATTTGCTTTATATATTTAGATTCTCCAATGTTGGGTGCATATGTATTTACAATTGTTATACCCTCTTGATGAATTGACCTTTTTATTTGTCTCTTCTGACAAATTTCAAAATAGACTGAAAGTCTATTTTGTATGATATAAGTATAGCCACCTCTGCTCTCTTTTTGTTACCATGTGCATGGGACATCTTTTTCTCTCTCTTTACTTTCAGCCTATATGTGTCCTTAAAGCTAAAATGAGTCTCTTGTAGGCATCATATATTTGGATTTTGGTGAGATTTTTTTTTTCTAATCCATTCAGCCACTCTATGCCTTTCGATTGGAGAATTTAATCTATTTACATTTAAAGTAATTATTAATAGGTAAGGACTTACTGTTGTCATTTTGTTTATTGTCTTCTGTTTTATAGTTTCTTTCTTTATTCCTTTCTTGCTGTCTTCCCTTGTGGTTTGATAATTTTTTGTGATAGTGTGTTTCAATTTCCTTCTCTTTATCTTTGATTATCCACTACAGATATTGTTTTCTTTGTAACTACCATAAGGCTTACATAAAACAGCTTATAGTTATAATAGTCTATTTTAACCTGATAGCAACTTAAATTCGATCACATACAAAAACTATACTTTTACTCCACCCTCAATATTTTATGTTAATGTTGTCACAATTTGCATCTCATTTCTTAATATTCTGTATCCACTAATAAGTTACTGTAGCTATAATTATTTTTAATACTTTTGTCCTTTAACTTTCACATTAGAATTAAAAGTGATTTATACACCACCATTATAATATTTGAGTTGTCTGGATCTGACTATATATTTTTTTACTAGTAAGTTTTATACTTTCATATTTTTTCATGTTTCATCCTTTTATTTCAACTTGAAGAATTCCCTTTAGCATTTCTTACAAGGCAGGTCTAGTGGTAATGAATTCCCTCAGTTTTTGTTTGTCTGGGAAAGTCTTTATCTGTCCTTAATTTCTGAAGAGCTTTGCTGGTTAAAGCATTTTTGATTGGCAGGGTGTTTTTTTTAATCCAGCACTTTGAATATATCATCCCACTCTCTACTGGCCTGCAAGTTCTTGCTAAGAAATCTGCTGATAGTCTTTTGCAGGTTCTCTTGTACGTGATGAATCACTTTTCTCCTGCTGCTTTGAAATTCTCATCTTCAACTTTTGACAATTTGATTATAATGTGTCTTGGCAATGATTTATTTATGTTCAATCTAATTGGAGTTCTCTGGGCTTCATGAATCTGGATATTCATTTCCCTCCCCAGATTTGAGGAGTTTTTCTATCATTATTTCTTTAAATAAGCTTTCTGCTCCCTTCTCTTTCTCTGCTCCTTCGTGTACTCCTATAATGCATGTATTGATTAATTTGATGGTGTCCTATAAGTACCATAGACTTTCTTTATTCTTTTTCATTCCTTTTCTTTTTGTTCTTCAGGGTGACTAATTTCAAATGACCTATATTTAAGCTGGTCGATACTTTAAAATGTATATGCCAATAGAAGCCACCCATGGTGGCACACACCTGTAGTCCTAGCTATTTGGGAGTCTGAGACAGGAAGATCACTTGATCCCAGGAGTTTGATACTGTAAAACACTGTGATCATGCCTGTGAATAGACACTACACTCCAGCCTGGACAACAGAGCAAGACCCCCGTCTCTCTTTTTAAAAAGGTGCCAATAGAGAAGTTGGAGGCACTAAGAAACATGGAACAGTCAAAGGAATTTTCACTACTTTCTAATTCCTATTCAAAGCAATGCCAGGCATCATTCAGATATTATCTAAGTAATTAATAGATAATATGGTTAATTTTATATGTCAAATTGGCTAGGACACAGTGCCCAAATATTGGTCAGGCATTACTGTGAATGTTTGGCAAGAGTGTTTTTCGACGATTTTACATTTAAATCACAGGACTTTGAGTAAAGCAGATTACCCTCCATAATGTGAATGGCCCTCATCCACTTATGTGAAGGCCTGAATAGAACAAAAGGCTGACCTCCCCCAGGGCAAAAGGGAATTCTCCAGCAGACTGCCTTCAGATTTTATCTGCAACATCTGCTCTTCCTGGTTCCACAGCAGACTGCCTTTGGACTCGAACTGCAGCTCCCTCTCTCCCTCTTGAGTCTCCAGCCTGCTGGCTTCCCCAACTTATTTTGGAATCACACAGTTTCCACAATCACATAGCCAATTTTTAAAAATATACCTGTTTCTTTGGAGAACCCTGACTAATACATTACCCTGCATGCCTTCCTACCTTCCTCCAAAGTTGTGAATTGTTCACTGCCCAGTTGGGCTCCCAGACAAGCAAGGTTCACTTGGTGGGTAAGGCAGATGAAGGGTGCATGTCCCTAACCCATAGTCAAGCTTCTTGGTCATTTCAGAAGTAATGGACTGTTTCAAAAGGAGACCATTGTATAATCCTTTTTATTTACTCCCCTGAAGCAGAAATTGTAAACCCATGACTATATCCAATTATAACTCTCATTCAGAATATTAAAACTTGTTTTTCTTTGTTCTTTAGTGAAAACACAGGCAATGTCCCAGCACAATTCCTAACAAACAGGCTTTCGGTATGAGACACTGGGGAATTTGCCTCTTCTCCATCTTTGCTGTCTTCTTTCTTTCTTTCTCTCTTTCTCTCTCTCTCTTTCTTTTTTTTTTTTTTTTTGACAGAGTCTCGCTTTGTTGCCCAGGCTGGAGTGCAGTGGCATGATCTTGGCTCACTGCAACCTCTGCCTCACAGGCTCAAGCAATTCTCATGGCTCAGTCTCCTGGGTAGCTGGGACTACAGGCACCCATCACCACAACCGGCTAATTTTTTTTTTTTTTTTTAGTGGAGACGGGGTTTCACCATGTTGGCCAGGCTGGTCTCGAGCTCCTGACCTCAAGTGATCCACCCACCTTAGCCTCCCAAAGTGCTGGGATTACAGGTGTGAGCCACCACCACCACCAGCCATCTGTAATCTATCTTTCTTAAAAATGAAACAAATATGGGCCAGGCACAGTGGCTCACACCTGTAATCCCAGCACTTTGGGAGGCTGAGGCAGGTGGATCACGAGGTCAGGAGTTCGAGAATAGCCTGGCCAACATAGTGAAACCCTGTCTCTACTAAAAATACAAAAATCAGCCAGATGTGGTAGCACACACCTGTAATCCCAGCTACTTGGGAGGCTGAGGCAGGAGAATCGCTTGAACCCAGGAGGCAGAGGTTGCAGTGAGCTGAGACGGCACCATTGCACTCTAGCCTGGATGACAGAGCAAGACTCTGTCTCAGGAAAAAAAAGAGGAAACAAATATGTATATAACTGACTCAAGAACAGTAGACAACAGTCACAATATTTTAATTTTATCTTTCTCTGGGGGCAAGGGGTGGAGAATGGTCCTAATGTCATCCCAAAACAAGATCTTTTTTCCAAAATAGTCAATCTTCTCAACACCATTGGGTCTGTAATGCTTCCTTTATCTTGAACTAAATTCTAATAAATACATAGTACTATTTCCAACATCTCCCTTCTACTCTATTGATAAGTGTGACTTTTTTTGCACCATACCAGACAGCTTTAATTATTGTAGTGATTAAATTTAGTTTCACAGGTGGTTAATAAAGCCCTGACTTTATTGCTTTTCTCTCTCAAACCATTTTTACTATTTATATGTGTGATTTCCCAGATGAACTTTAAAAGTCATTTTTTCAAGGTCCAAGAAAATTTCCATTTGGGATTTTAATTGGACTTGTGCTAAACATATAAATTAAATGGGGAAGAGTTGGAATCTTTAGCATAGTCAGTCTTTCCACTAATAAATATGCCATTTATTCCATTTTTATTTAATGTAGCTCAATAAAACCTCCTAGTTTTCTAGGCTTCAGCTCTATACATTTCTTGTTGATACTCTCCTTTAGCAGAGCATATTATGCTTATAATTTGTCTTGTTATGAGATATGCCCCCAATCCCTATATGAAATTTGGAGCTATGGATTCTGCTCTCAAAGAGTTTAAACTCTAGAAGGATGTTAAGTAGCAGAATATACACCAGGTACATCTTCAGTTGACAGCTCAGCCACCAGAAAATCACTCCACTCTTTTCCTCTGGCCACTACTTCCTTCCTATCCTATTGTTACGATAAAGGAGTTCCTGGCAGCTCTGTCACCTAACAGCTGACTGGACTGTGAATGGGCACCTGTCCCAAAATGATACAATGAATTCTTTCCCTGGGACTTTAAAATTAAGAGATCACCACCTCGTCTGCCTCTAGGTGACCAGATTGGTAACATGGACACACTGGAGCTACTGGTGCCATGCTTTTCCACATGGATACCAGATAAAGGGAAGAAATGAATCTGTACAAAGAAAGAGACCAACAAAGTAGACACAGAGAGAAGAGAAGTAAGCATCTGAGAGAAATACCCAGCAATGTTTGAGTCTCCAATTTTGACTCTTTTCAGACGTTCAGCTACATTCCTGCCCTTGAGCTCTCAGAAAAGTCCCAAAAAAAGGCCTCTTTTTTTTTTTCTGACTCAGGCTAGCTGTAGTTTATGTTACTACAACCAAAAGAGCATTCCTAATACAGAGAGAAGGTAGGCAGGATCCATGTTTCATGGGTTTTCAGGCTCCAGACCTAAAAATTCAAACCCAGAAGAGACAGAAAGGCTAGAAGAGGGCAGACAGACATTGGGAAAAGTCTAGAGAAGAAACAGGCTAAAACAGCCCCAGGCTTTATTTGGCCATCACATTTACTGTACCTCCAGGTCTGTCTGCTCCTTCCATCACACTAGGAAAGGACTGAGCCCACACCAGGGAGGAAGACATTGATGTTAGATGAGTCTTCAGCAGAAAGTGAAACATCTTTCAGTCTCAGAGAAAACAACTACAGAATTTGTATGGTACTAGACAAAAATTTCCATCTTTAGCCTTCAAAGTTTCAGAAGTTCCAAAAACTCTACTATCCTTTGAGATGGAGTCTCCTTCTATCACCCAGGCTGGAGTGCAATGGCTCAATCTTGGCTCGCTGCAACTTCCATCTCCAGGCTCAAGCAATTCTCCAGCCTCAACCTCCCAAGTAGCTGAGACTACAGGCACATGCCACCACACCTGCTAATTTTTGTATTTTTTGTAGAGATGGGGTTTCACCATGTTGGCCAGGCTGGTCTTGAACTCCTGACCTCAGGTGATTTGCCCACCTCGGCCTCCCAAGGTGCTGGAATTATGGGCGTGAGCCACCAGGCCTGGTCTCTATTATCCCTTTAGGGTTGGATAGCTGAGCTGGAAGGAAGAAGTGAAGCAAAAGGAGGAGGAACCTGAGAGATGGGGGTGATGGCAAAGTCTAGGGAATACACTTTACCAGCCAGCATGTGGTTTGTCCTGCTCTTTTGTCCCTCTGCTACAAGATCGGCCGTGTCCTAAATGGAAGCTGCTCTGTCAATCTGAACATCAGAGTGAAGATGACATGGAGAGAGGCAGCAGCTGGCTCATTACAGACATGTATAATATTATGAGCATGTAGCTTTTGTAGAACTAGAGGTCTTTTGTTGTCACCACATAATCTGTCCAGTCCTGACATACACACAACTTGCTCTGAGGGTGTGAGTTCTATAAAGGCAGACCATGTCATATTTGATTTGTACCCCCGGCACCCAGCACAATGCTAAGCACACAATAAATACTCAAGTAATATTGGATGAATGAAGCCTTTCTAGACTTCATCTGTACAATAAAGAAGTTGGAGTAGATGTACTACAGGGTATCTTCAAAGGCTAGCATGCCATGATTTCTATAATTTCAGAAATAAAAGGTTCTGTTTCCTTCTGAAACACCCACATGCCAAAGTCTCATTTCAGCCTGAATTCCTTGCTCTTCTAAGAAAAAGCCTTTGTACATGGCTGTATATGCTTACAGGATTGCAAGAACTGCTTAAGGTTTTAAAATCCAGACTATACAGGCAAGAAATTAAATACTAAGAACACCTTATCTGTCTCTGAGTATTGTGACCCTGAGTGATGTCTCCAATCCCTACCCACTGTTGCTGCTGACTTGGGCAAGTATACCTGCTGTTCAAAGACCATCTGAAATTACCTCTAAGAAGGAATTGCTTTGAAAATGAAGCTTATAATTAAACAGCAATTGAAGTTTCCTGTGGTTTTATGCCCGGGTCTTATCTAATGCCTAAGTAGATAAACTGCATGGCTTAAAAATCAGAAAAGAACTGGATGTTTGTACAAGTGACAGGAGGTCTCCACTCAGCAATCTTGCTTCTTTAGGACCCAACTTTATTTCCAGCACTATTGTCAAAACACGTCCACAACACTGACATCAGCTCAGCCCTGCAGAAGTAACTACAAGAGAACCAAGGAACATTAGAGCTAAAATGAATCTTACCTAGCACCTCATTCAAAGTCTTTGTTTCATTAAGAAGTTGAAACACAGGAAGGTAAAGTTATTTTCCTAGGGTCACCACCATAAGAGGGGATAATCAAAGGACTTAGGAGGTAAAACTATAATGACTTGGGTGACTTACTGGACGTAGGCTGTTAGGGAGAGAAAGGAGTAGAGAACAATTGCAAATATTCTCAGTTGGCAAATGGAAGGAATGATGAGGTTGGGTTTGGAACATAATCCCAAAGGACACAATCCCAAACCCCACAATCCCTAATGTTGAAATCCCCATAGATCAAAATCACTAAAGTCTAAATCCCTGAAGTCTAAAGTCCCTAGCAAGTGTGAGGTGTCTGCATACCATCCAGATTAGAGATATCAAGCAGACAGTTGGATATTATAGATTTGGGGCTGAGGGAAAATGACAAAGCTAAAGAGAGAGTTTTGGGAGTCATCAGCCTATTCAGGCTGTTCGAGGCTATTACAGAATGAGAAGAAAGAGAAGAGAAATCAAGAAAGGGGAGAAGCAAGAATAGAACCCACAGAACATCAGTATCTAAGGGGTTTGTTAAAATAAAAAATAAATAAAATAGGAGTTTATAAAGTAGCCTACAAATAAGTGACCAGGGAGATAGGAAGAAAACTAGGATAGAATGGTGTCAGTAAAAGAAACGGTTTTAAGAAGGGAAAACTTTTCAATAATTGTAACACACGTAGCGAGCTGCTTCCCCAGTATTTAAAAGGAGCAGTATGCTGCTCCTTTTAAACAAAACCCTTTTTTCAGACCATCAGTGGATCTGGTAAATAAATAAACAACAATTTCCCAGGTACCTTTGTATCCCAAAGCTCATCCATCTCTGGTCAATTACAGGCAGATGCCTATCTACTTGGGGGGGCTGCCAGGAAAATTATTATTGTCCTCATACAAGTGGCCAAAGAACTGGCACCTCACTTTTACCCTTTGCATTTTCTCCTTTCTTCCCTCCTAAATGATTCTATGCCTAAAGGTGCAGCAGCTGTCTAATGGTCATGAGTACAAAAGATACAAAATAGATGATGGAGAGGAAAATGAGAAGGATCTGCTTCCTGATCCACCCCTTTGAAAGTGAGAAAGTTGGGAGTTGACCTTGGCTCCTCCCTTCATCTCACTTCACTGTGCTCCAAGACACTTCACTCAACCCTTAAATACCCTCAGATCTGCTTCCTTCCAACTCCTCTACCAGCCCGACATTGTTAAGGCCACATCATGTCTTGCCCGGCTTACTGAACTTCTCAGCTTACTGAACAAGACTCCCGGCTTCCAGACTTACCAGCTCCAACCTATGCTCTCACCTGCCGCCCCTTTCAGTCAAACTGGAATGTTTTTGTATTGATCTTTGCTTAAAATACATCAAGCGTTCTTCATTGCCTAGTGGATAAAAAGTCCTTAGTCTCACAGCCTTTATGATTTGTTTGGCTCCTGTCATACATGATGAAGACACTAATTATGATGACAAATATATATACATATACATGTGTACGTGTGTGCATGTGTGTGTAATTTTTGTACACAGACTATGTACCAAGCATTGTGCTAGGAACTTTACGTTTATTTAATCCTCACAATGTTTCCTCATATATTTGGTATTAATCTCATTTTACAGATAGGACGACTGATTCTCAGAGAGGTTAAGTCACTTGCCCAGGAATATACAGCTAGTTTAACTGGGGAAGGCCTGGATGTGAAAATTCTTTCCAGTAAATCAGTGTCTTGACATGAAAGCATGTACCGCTCATCAACCTGTTCTCCACCGCCCTCCTCTATCCTAAATGGGCAGCCCTGTTGAAGAATCACAGCCAAAGCCAGTCTTGCCCCCCGGGGCCAGAGGAATCCATCTGCCCCTGCCTACCAGAGCGGGAGGAACGCAGGCTCTCAATGCCTGCTTCAGCAAGGGAGGAGAGAATCGCCCAGAGCTGAGCGGCGTCGTAGGGTGGTGGTCCTGACCGGTCAAGGCCCCTTCTCCTCGTGAACTGGGGGCCAGGGAGCCCTTCTCCCTGTCCCCCCGGCACCACAGCGCTGTAGAAGTGAAATCCCGGCTCCAAGGTCACCCTCTCCCGAGCCTGGAGCTGGAAAGCCACGGGGACTCCGGGGACTCCCCCAAGGCCCGGACTAGCCTGGCACCCACCCCTCACCACTAACCCACTCCGCCTGGGCGCTGGTTCTGTGCGCTCCCGCGGCGCAGTCGCTCCGCTGCAAGAGCGCTTTCGCGCGCCGCCACCGCCCAGAGCCGGGACCAAAGCAGTCCTCGGGCACCGGCTCCCCGAGGGACACACACCCCCCCGCGCCCCGAGTCGAGGGGTTGAGAGAAGGGCGGTCGGGGAGCCCCTGGGCCTGCCGTCAGTCACCCGGATTTGTAACTGGAGAAGGGTGCGGGTCCCGGAGGGACATCTCCAGCTGGCACCTAACTCCTCGGATCCCGGACTGGGAGCCCGAGCTCGGATATTGCAACGGCTGCCCCGTGGGCAAACCGACCCTGGTTTCCGACTCCGGCCACTGGCAGCCTCGCGCCCCAGACCCTTCCCGGGCACGGAAGCGGGTCAGGTCGCCCTGCTCAGCCTCCGGAACGGCGGCGGCACAAACCCCGGCCGCTCCCAGCAGCCCCGACGAGACCCCGGGCAGCGCCTGCCGCCGGGTGGCCTCCCTCTGGGGCTGACCCCCTCGCGCCCCCGCGCGTCTGTCTGCGTTTCTGAGCCTGCTCTGACAGTGATGTAACAAGGCCAGGCTCGCGCCGCGTCCCCTCTTTCCCAGACTCAGTGCTCCCTCCTCCTCCCGCGCCCCGCGCTCTGCGCGCTGAGCTGGCGCCGGGCTCCGCTTGCACAGCACCGGGACCGACGGGCACTGCTGGGAGAGCCGCTCTCCCAGGTTCCACCTCCCCGATGCAGAGTCCGTGGGGGAAACCAGGCTTTCCTCCCAGAACCAAGGGAGCGAGCCGAGGGGGCAGCTGCTGTGGGGGCTTCTGAGGAGACAGCCTGGCTTCTTTCCCTACTTCCTGGAGAGGGCAGGAAACCTCAGGTACCTCGTTGACCCCAGCCGGAGCGTGTTGATATGAGAGAGAGACGGAGGTTGCAATAGTGAGAGGAAGAGAGGGAGGGCACAAGAAAGGGAGGGAGGGAGAGGGGACGGAGAGAAAGAGTAGAAATAGAAACAGGGAGAGATTGCAAGAGAAACGCAGAGAGAGAGATAGAGAGATTGCAAGAGAGATACAGAGACAGAGATCAAGACTGAAAGTCAAGAAGCAAGTCGGAGACAAAGGGCAAGAGAAAGACAAGAGTTGATGGGTGGGAGCTTGACTTGGATTTTTTTTTAACGCACTGTGGTTTCATCTCTGACAGAATAGAGGAACGCTGCTCCCTGGTCAGCAAGCAGCCCCCAACCTGGATGGAGTGAAACATGCGGCCTGATGACATTAACCCGAGGACTGGGCTGGTGGTGGCCCTGGTCAGTGTCTTCCTCGTCTTTGGTTTCATGTTCACCGTCTCTGGGATGAAAGGGGAGACTTTGGGAAACATCCCCCTCCTGGCCATCGGGCCAGCCATCTGCCTACCAGGCATCGCAGCCATTGCCCTGGCCAGGAAAACCGAGGGATGCACCAAGTGGCCAGAGAACGAGCTGCTGTGGGTCCGCAAATTGCCCTGCTTCCGGAAACCCAAAGACAAGGAGGTGGTAGAGCTGCTGAGGACCCCTTCAGACCTAGAATCCGGCAAGGGGAGCTCAGATGAGCTGGCTAAGAAGGCGGGCCTCAGGGGGAAGCCTCCCCCACAAAGCCAGGGTGAGGTGTCCGTGGCCAGCTCCATCAACAGCCCCACACCCACGGAGGAAGGAGAATGCCAGAGCCTCGTCCAGAATGGGCATCAGGAGGAGACGTCCAGATACCTGGACGGCTACTGCCCCTCGGGCAGTTCCCTCACCTACAGTGCCTTGGACGTCAAGTGCTCAGCAAGGGACAGATCTGAGTGCCCTGAGCCTGAGGATAGCATCTTCTTTGTGCCCCAGGACAGTATCATCGTTTGCTCCTACAAGCAGAACAGCCCGTATGACAGATACTGTTGTTATATCAATCAGATACAAGGCAGGTGGGACCACGAGACCATCGTCTAATCTCTGCCTACAAAGGTGGCTGGATTGATAGAATATGACTAAGCCCAGCTCCCCGTGGAAGCAAATTGCTCTGCTTGGAGAGCCTTCACACTGTTAGAAATTGACCTGGTATGTGATGGGTGTGATAACCTCTGGTACCCGAGAGTCATGTAAATAGGCATGTTGGGGACACATTTTAGGGAAGGGCGATGAGGGTTAAGGACACTGGAAGAGGCAGTGGGTAGGAAAGGAAGCTACTCCAGTTGCTTCTTAACAATTTACACAATGTTAAATGTTTTGTAAAATAACCCAAAAAGTGCTATCCAGAACCAGCTGAGAGCAAGATAAATCTAGAGTGGGCTGCAGATGTGAGGCATCAAATGATGCATGAGCTGACCACAGGGAAACTGAGCTGCTTTATGTTTGAATAAGTTGAAAATAAAATTAATGATCCGTTATATAAAGTAATTTTTGCCTGGTTAAAAGCTTATCACACTTGGTATTTGCTGAAAGAAAAAAAAATCAAGATACAAGAGTTAAACCCTCCTTAGATGGGATGGTTTTTGGGAAAAGGGTAGTTAAAGAGAGTTGGATTATGTAACTGAGTCTTGTGGCATTATTGTCTGACAAGATCATGGTCTCTAATAAAGTAAAATAAGTGTGAGCAGCTATGTGAAAAGTTAACATTTTTAGATGGCTATGTTACTTCTTAAACTCTTCGTTTAAATCCATTTATTGCATCTTTATCTGAAATGGGTTTTTTCTAAACATTTACTATCATTCATGTATTATTTCCTTACCAGGTGCAACATTATTTGAAATGATACTTTCATAGATTGGAATTTGTTTTCATCAAGACAAAATGAATTTTACATATATATCCAAGTCTTTAACATTGGCAGACATGTACTGATAATTACCATTCCTACATACCTTTTAAAATCTGAAAACTATAAAGTCTACACATTAGCCTTGAACATTGCACATAATTTGTATGAAATGCAATGGTTAAACCTTTGGAAGTGTCATTATTTGTACATTTGTTCAACTCCTCTCACAGACTGTAAATGCCAGTGAAACAAGAACTCATCTACTAAATTTAACTGAAGCCTAGATTTTATTAAGCTCACCTGATCAGTGAACATTACATGATAAAAGTCTCTTTATTTCATACATTTTTGCTGCTGAGGAAAACAACAAATCACAATGATATCCTAAAATGTGCTTTCTATTTCACTTGCTCAACTGCAATAGATAAGAAGGCTATCAAGCAGAATGCCATTTGATCCCCGGTGAAGAAAAATATGAATTATATATAGGAATGGTGATAGAGTTCATCTTGAAGATCAGAAGTATTTTGTATCCTTCAAAGAATGATCATTTTAAGTGATCATATAGTCTTAGTCACTTTCTCCCAAAAGGGGAATTGAGGACAAAAATTTGGGCATATATGTTTTGTGTATTTCAATTCCAACTCTGCAATTCTTTCTTAAGTATAGCAATTGTTCTGTCTTAAGAATCATGGTATTTTTAAAAAATCATAATTTTCAAGTCAAGTTCAAGATCAAAAATATGTAATTATTTTAGTAGGGCTTAAATATCAGAAATGAGATGCATGATCTTGGGCAAATTTTATCTTCTTACACCTGAGTTTCCTACTCTGTGAAGGGAGGGGGAACTGATTTACACTTGATTATTTCTATCATTCATTTTCAGTGTAAATATTCTATGGTGTTATGTCAAAGGCATTTTATATATTGCCAGGAAATGAGTTACAGCAAAATGCATGCCAAAGTTATGAAATTTATGATAATTATGTGACATACATTGCACAGCTACTACTCAAAAAAGAATTTTGTAGATGTATGAAAGCAGATTATTCAACACAATGCATTCCTGAGAATAAAATGAACATAATCAGAGTAAAATATTTTTGAGGAGAAAACTTAAAATGTTGGTATAACTCAAAGTAATCTAATACACAACCTTGCACTAAATGTGATTGACATTTGGATTTGGGATGGGGAGAGATAGTTTCCTAAAATCACAGTAACTTTTAATAATTGTAATGCATTTTGAAAACAGAGAATCATATTTTTATAATGGTGAGAACTATGCAATAACTCTTTAGGAATGAAAACTTCCTTTAAGAAGTTTGCCACCGTTAGAGATGAGGAGATAGTGAGACAGAGAGATGTTCACAGAGACTCAGCAAATCTTAGACAATAATGCTGCAATTTTCTGAAAGAAGATGCTTGCAGTGTCAGGTATGGTTTGGGGGTTGGAAAAGTTACTTTTCTGATTTCTTGGAACCATTTAAAACTCCTTTATATCATTCTGTCTCTTTCCAAATTGAGGGTCAACTACTAGTTTAGAGATATAAGGTATTTTATCTTGTTTTCAAGTTCTACTTCAGAAGAAAACCTATTTCATGTTTCTTCTCCCATTACCTACTTAAGATACTTAAGGTATTTAAGTATGCATTTGAGGAAATATTTTCCTGTGCTAAAATAAAGGTTTGCAAATGTTGGTGTGAGAGGTTTTAACTTTGACCAGTGAGAATAAAATGTATGATTGTGTGTGTGAATTTCTCCTAACATATTAACCAACTCCTTTCTATATGCAACAAGGTAACCTGGTGCCCCAAATCAATACTTGTAAGTACTATTCAGAGTTAAACTTCCAAAGTCAAAAAATATATATACACAAAAAAAGGGGAAAAGCCACATTTTTTTGAACAGAGGTAGAAGAGAAAGAGAAAAAAAGTGTCTCAGCCCTTTAGAGGAAAAGAGAGCAACTCATTCTGATGAGTTACACAGTTTTAGCAAATTGTTCTTATCAATATAATAGACATGAGGATTGTTCCTGGTAGCCTTCAAGAGCTCCTAGACAGATATAAATTTAAGTAGACATTACTTTATTTTGCTGTTAATCCAAGTAGACATTGCGACTTGATTCTGAATAGGCATTTTATTTTCAAAATTTTTCTACTGAATTTCTCTTGCTCTGTATGCCTACTTATTGTGCACATGGGTTGTTTTTCCAAACTGCTTCTTGATTCTTAAGTGAGAATTCAGACATGATACTCAAACGAGAGCATATTAGACATCTGTTTTAAGATTTATTTTCTGTTGCAGTCATCTTGGCAAACAAAATCCAGATACAGTTAAGTTCAGGCTCTCTTCCAAACCCTGCTAAGCAGCTGCTTTGAAAATGTTTTCAATACTATGGATCTTAATATCCACTGAGATGACAAATGTAGGAAAGGAAGATTCATTCTGTTAAATGTTTTTTCTCTTTTGCAATGTCCAAGCTCTACTTATTTATTAATAGCCTCCCTCTGTACCCATAACATCATTTATTTGGTGAATTCACTGTTATTAATACTAGTATTTTATCACAGTAAAGAAAAGGTTTCTGAAAACCCACAACCTCACTATCCTAAAGCAACTACTGTGTTTCTATTTTGGTATATCATCTTCCAGGCTTCCTCCACATGCAAATGCAGCATACATATTATAATAGTGTGTTTTTCTTTTCTCTTTGAATTATATTCCATGCATGTTTCCATGTTTCTATGTAGTATTTCTAATTATCAATGAACGATTGTGTAATATGCCATTTTAGTGATGTTCCATAATTTATCATGCCATTCCTTATTGCTGGCAAGATACTAAGTTTTATGGATGATTTTGTATGTTTTTTTCCTATTGCTGGTTACACTGCTATATTATTTGTTATATGCCAATAGAGAGGAACTTTACTATTGAACAGGTATCTCCTTGTGGATGAGAGAGAGGAGGCAGAAATGTGTAAATGAATGGAACTCTCCATATTGTTGTGTGGGTCTTCCCTTCACTCTTGTGGATATAAGACCCAGGGTGGGAAACAAAACGATGCTTCTTCCAAAAGATCCTCCCATCAGGACCAGAACTAGTATGTTTAGGAGTAAGATGGAACATTTCCCCAGCTAAGATACCAGTGGTGTGTTTCTCACAATTAGATTACAGTGGTGTCAGTCTTCAAGAGCATCGTGTTCAACAAGCAAAATGATAAATAGATGTAAACAATAATAATGACTTTGTAATATGCCAAAAGCATTTTCTTAAAGTACCTCATCATATATTTTATAATAGATGTATTTCATATGTATATGTATTGTCGCCTATCAGTGACTTACAAATGAACTGGAATTTCAGGAATCTGATAGACTCTGCCCTTGAGTTTTCTGTGTTTCAGTTTCCTACTGGGAAAAACTAAACTGAGGATGGAAATGGGGACAAATGCTTGGTTTGCCCAAATATCTTAATAAAAGACTAGATTCCATTCAACCTCTTGTCCAGTTCACATAAAATCATGTAGACACCACTGAGTCTGAGACCATGACTTTGATTTCTCATGACCTACCGCAGGGTCCTCACTCTATGGGCACCCAACCAAAAGAAATGTGTACATGATGCTGCCCAGATACACAAACAGGCAGGCACTGATGTTAGATAGCCAGTCTTTGGCAAGTTGTTCCTGGGACTGACCCTTACTAGGGATTCTTTTTTTATTTTTCCCTTTATTCCTTCCCTGACCCCAGATTACAGCCTGCAGACTTGGTATTCTCGGTGATAGTACAAAGCTTTGCATGCTTTATCCCTAATAAGGTACAGAGTTACAAAATGAACCGATTACAAAACAGTACATAAAGCTATTAAAAATCTCCTGTGCTGCTCTTTGACAAATCTATCTTTAGAAAGTTGAACATAAAAGATAATTTTGCAATTAGTCACTTTCTTATTTTTCATGGTAATGAACTATTGTACATAAGACAACTCTTCAGTAGGAGGCCAGACCACATTTGTTTGAAAAAACTAGGCTTTTGAAAATCACCTGCCTGTATCTGAACATGAAAAGTATGGGCAATTATTTTCTTTCTTTCTTTCTTTCTTTTTTTGAGACAGGGCCTTGTTCTGTCATCCAGGCTGGAGTGCAGTGGCATGATCTTGGCTCACTGCAACCTCCATCTCCTAGGTTTCAAACGATTCTTCTGCCTCAGTCTCCCCAGTAGCTGGGATTACAGGCGCCTGCCACCAAACGGCAAATTTTTGTATTTTTAGTAGAGACGAGGTTTCACCATGTTGGCCAGGCTGGTCTCGAACTCCTGACCTCAGGTGATCCACCAGCCTCAGCCTCTCAAAATGCTAGGATTACAGGCGTGATCCTAGCACTGCACCTGGCCATTATTTTCTATATAAGTGATTAGACCACCAGACCAACTCAGAAAGGCCCACTCTGTTCCTCTGCTTTTCCGAACTACCTCCCATCCCCTGCGGGAGCTTCTTGAATATTCCTGATTGTGCCCTGCAGCTGACCACCCTAAGGCTTTGCCCCAACCATTTTCTGTGCCTCAAATGCCCTGTCTTCACCCCTCTGCTGCGTAAGGCCCTAACGTCCTTCAAGGAGAAGCTGCCACATCTTCCACCATCTTCTGGATTTTCCGACTCAGAACTAATCCTTCTATTATTCTCTGGCCTCACAACACCCTCCACCACTATCATCACACACATTAGTTGCATGGGTATCTGTCTCTCCAACTGTAGTGTGAGCTCCTTGAAGGCAGGGACCACATTTTATCCATCTTTCCAATCCCCTACTTCACCCCCTGACACACTCATTTATTCCATCTTGCTCAGTGAAAACTCTAAATTGCACCATTTAGGTCACCCTCAAAGCCTACTTTCTTTTTCAAGTTGAATATAGTCAGCAACAATATGGGTTAAAATTGGCTTCTGTGGGTTGGGACCCTAACTTTTATTTTAGTATATTGTTTCTTTGGGAAAACCACGTCTTATATAACAAGAAGAAAGAAAGAAATCCTTCCAGAACATTTTCCCCTACCTCCATGATTAACCTAACTTCCACTCCATGAGTCAGAGACTGCACCAAACACGTGATAAGAACTGGTGGTTCTAGGAGCATGTGACAACCATTGAATTCCTGACCAGAAATAAGGTGAATCAATGTACTCAGGTTAATCCTGCAAGTAGGTCAACAAAATATAATTCCTCAGCTTTGACTATTGTCCTTCTAATATGTTTTTTCACCAATAATTCTAAACAAGACCTTCAAGACGACCTGGATATTCTCTTGGGTCAATATTGAGGGGCTGAGGTGCAGACCCTCTCCCACCGCCCCCAGTGATGCTCCCCTTCTCCATGAAAGCTGTAAATACTCAGAGACCATGGTTTGTAATTCAGAGAAGTCCCGGCTTGTTCTGGAACAAGAGATAGCATTGTTCAGCAATTCCTGTGAGCAGAATTTGAGGCCAGTCTTAATAACTTCTGACCCATGTAATTTTTCCTGTGAATTTTCCCAACTATCTGACTAGGTAAAAATAGGATTTAATTGGAGTAACTCTTTATCTTGACTGTGGTGAATATCAGGGTCTCTTTTAACAATAGAAAGAAAGACCTCCTTTAAGTATGTATAGGAAAGGGAGCATAGGGAAAGAATGAGCAGAATTGTGGGCATGGGGAAAAGAGCCAACAATCCCTGATTAAGCCAGTCACTTTTGCGGCATCCACCCCCTCCATCCCCCTAGCGTTACCACTTCTCTTCTCTACTTTGGAAGCAAATGCTAGAAAATGGACTAAGAGGACAAACCAAACAGAAAATGTTTTAAAAACGTGAAGAGTAAAAGGAAAATGTTAGAGAATTTTAATATATTTTTAAATGGCTGTGAAAATAAATATGTACTTAATTTAAGTGTATATTCCAATAAGGGCAATATTTAGCTAGAAATATCCTGCTGGGCACAGTTAAATATAAAATAGTATCCAATAAATAAGATCAAATGGGTTCAAAAAACTATTCAACAATAGACTAAAAAGTATAATAAAAACTATGAAGCTAAATGAATATAAAGTGAATAAGACTAGCTGAAGTATTAGAAGGATAAAGACAGTAAAGTTAAATAATTTTAAATGCATAAAGTCAGCCAAAATTTTCCACTGAAAGAAGAATGGGGTATTAAATGCAAGCAACAATACAGAGGCCAGAACTAAGACCCCAGCAATGTGTTGCAGGCTGAGGCAAGAGCAAACAAGGGACACAGGTTGTGCTCAATTCTCCTCCCAGGCGAGATCCCCTCAAAGCAGGGTGTCACCCTTCAGGTTGCAAAAATTCAAGGCCCAAATGATTTTTTGGATATGACACCAAAAACACAGGCAACGAATGCAAAAATAGACAATGGGATTTCACCAAACTAAAATACTTATGCACAGAAAAGGAAACAATCTACAGAGTGAAGATAACCTAGGGAGTGGGAGAAATATTTGCAAGCCATACATCTGATAACAGGTGTATTAATCTGTTCTCACACTGCTAATAAAGACATACCCTAGATTGAGTAATTTATAAATGAAAGAGATTTAGTTGACTCACAGTTCCACATGGCTGGGGAGGCCTCACAATCATGGAGGAAAACAAAGGAAGGGCAAAGGGGATGTCTTATATGGCAGCAGTCAAGAGAGCATGTGCAGGGGAACTCCCCTTTATAAAACCATCACATCTTGTGAGGCTTATTCACTATCATGGGAACAGCACCGGAACAACCTGCCCCCATGATTCAATTACCTCCCCACCCCCAGGTCCATCCCACAACACATGGGTATTACTACAGTTCAAGGTGAGATTTGGGTGGGCACACAGAGCCAAACCACATAAACAGGTTAATATCCAAAATGTATCAGGAGCTCAAACAGCTCAATAGCAATAAAACAATCCAATTTTTAAATGGGCAAATGACTTGAATAGACATTTCTCCAAAGAAGACATCCAAATGACCAACAGGTATAAAATGCTTAAAATAATTAATCATAAAAGAAATACAAATTAAAGTCACAATAAGATATCACCTCACACCTGTTAAAATGGTTATTATCAAAAAGACAAAAGATAACAAGTGCTGGAGAGGATGTGGAGAAAAAGGAATCTTTGCACACAGTGGGTGGGAATGTAAATTAGTACAGTCATTGAGCTTCCTCAGAAAACTAAAAGTAGAATTACCATATAATCCAGCAATCCCACTACTGGATATATACACAAGCGATATGAAATCAGTATGTTGAAGTGATATCTGCACTCCCATATTTATTGCATCACCATTCACAATAGCCAACATATGAACCTAAATCTTCACTAACAGTTGAATGGATAAAGAAAGCATTGTATATTATACACAATGAAATATTCAGACTTTAAAAAGAAGGAAATTTTGTCATTTGTGACAATATGGATGAACCTGGAGGATGTCAACGCTAAGTGAAAAGATTCAGGCATGGTCTCATATGTGGAATCCAAAAAAGTTCAACTTATAGAAGTAGAGAGTAGAAGTGTGGTTACCAGAAGCTGGAGTAAGGGAATGAGGAGATGTTGGTGGATAGGTACAAAGTTTCAGTTAGACAAAAGGAGTAAGTTTTCCAAATCTATTGTAAAGTGTGGTGACCATAGTTAACAATAATGTATTGTATTTTCAACATTGCTGAAAGAATAGATCTTAAGTGTTCTCACTATAAAAACATAAGCATGTGAGATGATGTATTATGTTCCTTAGCTTGACATAATTATTGTACAATGTATACAGGTACCAAACCATCACTTTCTACCCCATAAGTATATAAAACTATTATCTGTCAATTAAAAATAAAAAGGTAATTTAAAACACATGTCTGAATATATCCCCAAAAGTTCATGCATTGGAAACTTAATTTCTAATGCAACAGTGTTGGGAGGTAGGGCCTTTTGGGAGGTATTTAGATCATGAGGGCTCCACCTCCATGAATAGAATAATACCATTATAAAAGGGCTTAGCAAAGGGAGTTTGGCCCTTTTTTGACCTCCCACCTTCTGCCATGTGAAGACATAGTGTTCCTTCACTCCAGAGGATGCAACTTTCAAGGCACCATCTTGGAAGCAGAGAACAGCCCTCACTAGATACTGGTGGCTTGATCTTGGACTTTCCAGCCTCCAGAACTGTGAGAAATGAATTTCTGGTTTTTGTAAATTACCCAGTATGTGGTATTCTATTATAGCAGCACCAAAAAAAAGACAAAGACAGGAACTGAGTGTACAGTATTCCATGGGGCTTTTCTGAAGACTAGCATTCAAATAACTATACTTTGTGAAGTCTTCCCCCAATTCCCAAATCTAGAAGCATCAATCAGAGAAGTCAAATTTCCAGAAGTCAGAAAGATTGAAGTATCAAAAGAAAGAAGAAAAAGTTACGTAACCCCCAGAATTACCCTTATTTTCTTGGCCCTCGTCATTCACTGCGTAGCAATCTCTCAATAAACCCCTCTTCCCTCAGCAGGGAGACTTGAATGATCAGAAAAAATATATATCTGCTGGACATATTTTGCTTCCAGATGTTAGATTTTGAGGTTCCCAACTTTACCCAACAATAGTTGCTAGGTCCTGCCTTCACTGTAGGTACAAAAATTGGTATGGACTTTTTATAAGAGTTCTAAGAAGGTTTATAATGCATATTTAATATCTCAAGGAACCAGCAACCCATTGGAAAACATAACCCTTGCCTTCCCTAGTCCTACCCTACAAGACCTTGAATGAGCATTCTTAGCCCTACCCAAGGCCTAAGCAAATATCATTAAGGTAGGCCAGTAGTTCTCAAGCCCTAGCATACATCAGAATCACCTGTAGGGCTTGTTGGAATACAGAATGCTGGGGCCATCTCCAGAATTTCCATTTCTAAAAAAATTATCAGGTTATACCAATGATATGGGTCCCAAGTCTCCTTCAATTTGTGCATGTGTACTTTTTAAAAGGTGAGATCTGGCTATGTTGCCCAGGATAAAATTTACAGGCATGATCTACAGCCTCAAACTGCTGGATTCAAGCAATCCTCCTACCTCATCCACCTGAGTAGCTGGAACAACAGGCATGCACTACCATGACCAGCTGCTTTTAAGTGGTTTTATATCCAGGAGTCTGGTATAGCCCCTAGTCCCAGCTATGCCCAAGCAGCAGCATTTGGATCTAATGTCTGGAACACAATAAACATTCAGTAAATAATTTAATTGAATTAATGAATGTATTAGTCTGTTTTTACACTGCTGATAAAGACATACCCAAGACTGGGCAATTTACAAAAGAAAGAGGTTTATTGGACTTACAGTTCCACATGGCTGGGGAGCCTCATAATCATGACAGAAGGTGAAAGACACATCTCGCGCAGGGCAGCAGACAAGAGAAGAGAGAGTTTGTGCAGGGAAACTACCCTTTTTAAAACCATCAGATCTCATGAGATTTATTCACTATCATGACAATAGCACAGGAAAGACGGGCCCCCATGATTCAATTGCCTCCCACCAGATCCCTCCCACTACGTGTGAGAATTCAAGATGAGATTTGGGTGGGGACACAGCCAAATCATATCATTCTGCCCCTGGACCCTCCCAAATCTCATGTCCTCACATTTCAAAACCAATCATGCCTTCCCAACAGTCCCCCAAAGTCTTAACTCATTTCAGCATTAACTTAAAAGTCCACAGTCAAAAGTCTCATCTGAGACAAGGTAAGTCCCTTCCACCTATGAGTCTGTAAAATCAAAAGCGAGTTAGTTACTTCCTAGATACAATGGGAGTAAAGGCATTGGGTAAATACAGCTGTTCCAAATGGGAGAAACTGGCTGAAACAAAGGGGCTACAGGTCCCATGCAAGTCAGAAATCCAGTGGGCAGTCAAATCTTAAAGCCCAAAAAAGAACTCCTCTGACACCATGTCTCATATCCAGGTCATGCTGATGCAAGAGGTGGGTTCCCATGGTCTTAGGCAGTCCACCCCTATGGCTTTGCAGGGTACAGCCTCCCTCCCAGCTGCTTTCATGGGCTGGCATTGAGTGTCTGCTGCTTTTCCAAGCACACAGTGCAAGCTGGCAGTGGATCTACCATTATGGTGTCTGGAGGACGGTGGCCCTCTTCTCACAGCCCCACTAGGTGGTGCCCCAGTAGGAATTCTATGTTGGGGCTCCAACCCCACATTTTCCTTCCACACTGCCCTATCAGAAGTTCTTCATGAGGGCCCCACCCCTGCAACAAACTTCTACCTGGGCATCCAGGCGTTTCCATACATCTCCTGAAATGTAGGCAGAGGTTCCCAAACCTCAATTCTTGACTTCTGTGCACTTGCGGGCTCAACACCACATGGAAGTTGCTAAGGCTTGGGGCTTCCACCCTCTGAAGCAACGGCCCAAGCTGTACCTTGGACACTTTTAGTCACACCTGGAGCAGCTGGGATGCAGGGTGCCAAGCCCCTAGACTGCACACAGCATGGGGGCCATGGGCCTGACCCAGGAAACCATTTTTTCCTCCTAGGCCTCTGGGCCTGTGATGGGAGGGGCTGCTGTGAAGACCTCTGACATGCCCTGGAGACATTTTCCCCATTGTCTTGGGGATTAACATCTGGCTCCTCGTTACCTATGCAAATTTCTGCAGCCACCTTGAATTTCTCCTCAGAAAATGAGATTTTCTTTCCTATAGCATTGTCAGGCTGCAAATTTTCTTAACTTTTATGTTCTGCTTCCCTTATAAAACTGAATGTCTTTAACAGCACCCAAGTCACCTCTTGAATGCTTTGCTGCTTAGAAATTTCTTCTGCCATACCCTAAATCATCTCTCTCAAGTTCAAAGTTCCACAAATCTCTAGGACAGGAGCAAAATGCTGCAAGTCTCTTTGCTAAAACATAACAAGAGTCGCCTCTGCTCCAGTTCCCAACAAGTTCCTCATCGCCATCTGAGACCACCTCAGCCTGGATTTCATTGTCCATATTATTATCAGCATTTTGGTCAAAGCCATAAAACAAGTCTCTAGGAAGTTCCAAACTTTCCCACTTTTTTCTGTCTTCTTGTGAACCCTCCAAACTGTTGCAACCTCTGCCTGTTACCTAGTTCCAAAGTCACTTCCACATTTTTGGGTATCTTTTCAGCAGCATCCAACTCCTGGTACAAATTTACTATGTTAGTCTGTTTTCACACTGCTGATAAAGACACACTCAAGGCTGGGAAATTTACAAAAGAAAGAGTTTGATTGGACTTACAGTTCCACATGGCTGGGGAGGCCTCACAATCATGGCGGAAGGTGAAAGGCATGTCTCACATGGCAGCAGACAAGAGAAGAGAGAGCTTGTGCCAGAACGCCCCTTTTTAAAACCATCAGATCTCATAGGACTTATTCACTATCATGAGAACAGCACAGGAAAGATCTGCCCCCATGATTCAATGACCTCCCACCAGGTCACTTCAACAACACGTGGGAATTCAAGATGAGATTTGGGTGGGGACATAGCCAAACCATATCAATGAATAATTCAGTTTATTTAATTCCTAAGACTGAGATTCTGTTTTGGGGCAGTGTACTCCACTTTCCCTGATGGAACAGAAGCCTAGTCCTCTACCCTAACTTGCTCAACTGGGCTCACAACTCCCTACCTGTCTCCAGACCTTGCAGGGACTATGTGCACAAAAACCAGACCTTTTGCTTAGTGAGGGAGATCTGAGGGAACCCAAGTGGGACAGGCCCTCTTTAGACCCTGGGATTTAGACTCCTTGTCTGCCTGGTAAAAGCCCACTCCATCAGGATCAAGTTTGTCCCAACCATTCCTGGTCAACTCTTCTCCCTGCCAAACCATTCCTGAGATCCCAGCAGGATCCTAGCTACAGGTACACAGCTGCATTGGAATCACAGGGAAAGTATCTGAACCACGTTCTGATGGTGAATTTGAAATGGAGATTTGCATTAGAGATCTCGGAAGCTTTCTCTAGCTGCCAGAATAGAGAATGGTTTACTTTATCATTTTCTTTTGTACTATTTTAATCATGCTTTTGGTGCATGGATTGCAGTGGCTAATTTCCTTCTTTCTTCCCTGTGACTTGGACCTGTGAACTGTGCAGAAGAGAAAACCATACTACGGCCCTGGGAGAGAAATATACTCAGGCTTTGATGGATTGTAGAGAAAATAGATTCTAAGAATGAAGATTTTCCCCAAGAAATTCAGGAAGAAAAATTAAAATCTATTGTTTATTAATATCCCAACACTTTAGTATTTTTATTATCCAAGGACTCTGAGGAAGTCCAGGTAACTGCCTGTGTAGAGACACTTTGTAGAATGACCCATCTGTGCTAAACCACAGCCTTCCCACTCCTTTACTTTTGCAGCTTCTACCACTGTTTCCCTTGGAAACCAAAGTAGCAGCTGCCTACAAAGACATCTCTCTCCCTCCTCACTCATTAGTCCCAAGGATTAGAGCCTGTTTTCTTCCTCACTGAAAACATTTGATGTTAGGGGACTGTGTGCATATGAGAGACAATGTAAAAACAGTACCACACTGGGTCAGACACATTGTGCATTCCATCTAATATTCTGTCTTGGATAGTTTCATTTTTCCTCTTCATTTTATATGATACGCCATCAATTTATTTTGTGTTGTAATGGCTTGTGTACACAAATCTTCTCTATTAGCTAGTAGGCTATTTAAAGTCTAGGGATGCCAGGTGCAGTAGCTCATGCCTGTAATCCCAGCACTTTGGGAGGCCAAGGTGGGAGGATTGCTTGAGCTCAGGAGTTCAAGACCAGCCTGGGCAACATAGCAAGACCCCATCTCTAACAATAAAATAAAATAAAGTCTAGGGAGAAATCAACATATAAAAGAGATACATTCACTCCCATGTTTATTGCAGCGCTATTCACAAGAGCCAAATATGGAATCAACCAATGGGTGTACCATCAGATGAATGGATAAAGAAAATGTGGTACATGTAGACAACAGAACACTATTCAGCCATAAAAACAGAATAAAATCTTGTCATTTGATGGATCTGGAGGACATTATGTTTGATGAAATAAGCCAGGCACAAAGAGACAGATACTTACACCTGGAAGCTGAAAAAATTGGTCTCATGAAGGTGGAGAGTAGAATAATGGTTATCAGAGGTTGAAAAGGGTAGAGGGGAGGAGAGATAAAGAGTCATTGGTTAATGGGTACAAAAGTACAGTTAGATAGAAGGAATAAGATCTAGTATTCAGTAGCACAATGGGGTGACTATAGCTAACAATAATTCACTGTATATTTCAAAATAACTAGATGAGTGCATTTGGAATGTGTCCAACACAAAGAAGTGGTGAATGTTTGGGTGCTGAACATTCCAATTATCCTAATTTAATCATTACACATTGTATAATTATATCAAACTATCACATGCACCCCATAAATGTGCACAACCATTATTAATCCATAAAAATTTTAAATTTAAAAAATTAATAAAATTAAAAAATAAAATCTTGGGAGAACATGGTTTTTTGTTTGTTTGTTTTTGAGACAGGGTCTCACTCTGTCACCCTGGCTGGAGTGCAGTGGCACAATCAGGGCTCACTGTAGCCTTGAGCTTCTGGGCTCAAGCGAACTTCCCACCTCAGCCCCCTGAATAGCTGGGACTACAGGCATGCACCATCACATCTGGCTAATTGTTTGTATTTTCAGTAGAGATAGGGTTTCACCATGTTGTCCAGGCTGGTCTTGAACTCCTGGACTCAATTGATCCACCCACCTTAGCCTCTTAAAGTGCTGGGTTTGCAGGCGTGAGCCACCAAGCCTGACCAAAAGAACATGGTCTTCTGTTTGCCATTCCCCACAGAGTCCTGACAAAGTCCTTTGCTTGATAAAAGTGAGTTGGATTATGTAATTTTTGATTACATAATTATTGATGTAATATGATTATAGCCCAATGATGAAAGTTTTAGCACCCATTGATGATTCTTGCCTGAATCAATTATTACTCTAATGACTGCTATTCATTTTTCTTCACTCATTCTACATTTGTCAATTGTAATTCTACCCTAATAAAGAACTTTTCCTTCTCCTCCCTTTATTTGTTCACTTATTTATTTATAAATGAGTATGAATTCATGGACTATTATTTTATGCAATGGGTTATCTTCTGTTACAGTCATTTTTCCAGCTTTACTGAGGTATAATTGACAAATAACTATTATTTTTAATAATCAAATTGTCATAGATTGTCATTTTATGCAATGGGTAGAATTCTGTAACTATCATTTTTTAATGATTAAATTGCCCCAAATTTGGCCAAGGAGAACACTTTCTGGCTTGCTCCTGTTTCTCTTTGACTTATCTCCTCTTACTTTAATCTTTTTTTTACTTTTTATCATGTTTCCATCAAACACTTATTCATTACAAAAAGAAAAATAGTAATCTTACAGCAGATAAACCTGGTAGATGACACCTTAACAAAGTGACCAAGTTAATATCATCATCAGTAATGGTGCCTTTTGATATTATGTGCTGAGAAGAACATGTAATCACTTTGATAGTATTTCTGCCAAAAAGTGGATAATCACAAAATAATCATGAGGAGACATAAGAATAATCCAGACTGGGGGACATTCTACAAAATACCTGGCCTATAGTATTCAAAAATGTCAAGGTCATAAAAAAACAAAGACTAAGAAATGATCCAGATTAACAGAAACTAGAGACATGACACTAAATGCAATGCATAATCCTGGATCAGATATTGAACCTAAGGGGGAAATTTTGTTATTAAACAACATTGGGACAATTAGAAACATTGTAATAAGGTTTTTAGATTAGAAAGTAGTACTGTGCCAATGATAATTTTCTGATTTTGATCATTTTGCTATGGTTATATTAAAAACGTGCCTTTATTCTTATGGAACAGATACTGAAGTACTTAGGGAGAAAGGAGCATCACATCTGCACCTTACTCTCAAAAGATTCAGAAGAATGATGCTGCAGTTTGAGTGTGTCCTCCAAAAAGCATGTGTTGGAAACTTATTCCCTAAGGCAATAATATTGGGAAGTATGGCTTACAGGGATGTGTTTAAGTTATAAGGGCTCCACCCGCATGAATGGATTAATGGCAATTATAAAAAGGACTTGAATCTGCAAGCACACTCTCTTGCCTTCTTTTGTCCTTCTGTCTTCTGCCATGGGATGATTCAGCAAGAAGGTCCTAGCCAGATGCTGGTCCTTTGACCTTGGACTTCTCAGCTTCCAGAGCTGTGAGCCAATAAATTTCTGTTCATTATAAATTACTCAGTCTCAGTTGTTCTGTTATAGCAGCAAAAACAGATGAAGACAAATAATAGGTAAATGTGGTCATCTGGATGAAGGATATGGAAAATTGGATGAATGGCATATGGCATTTTTTGTGCTGCTCTTGCACCTTTCTGTGTTTGAAATTGAAATTAAAGGTTATAAAATTAAAAGCTACAAAAACTGATTTGGATAAAACTCAATAATAGTATTGAGGCTTTATTTTTATTCATTTATACTTCACTACGTTCTAAGTAGGATTAAAGCAATTTAAAAGCCTATCTATTCAACAAAATTTTTAAAAATTCAGTGTCTTCAGCTGGGTTCTCCTAGAGGCATACACTGAGCCAAGGATTTCAGTGCAAGTAGCTTATTTGGGACATGATCCTAGAAAGCATCAGTAGGGGGGTGGGAAGTGAGATCAGGAAGGAAAAGAAACAATCAGGGTGTGTTATTGAACAGGTTACAGCTGTGGACAAATAGGGCTATATTCTATTTGGGAGACAGTGTAGAGCTGGCTCCTTTCCTGAGAAACAAGGAGCCTGGGGTATTAATCTATCAATTCCCACCAGCCATTAGTTGAGGGCTGCTCTCTTGAAGGTATTAACTCCAAGGCACTGCACTGTACACAATTTTAGCAGGCTACAATGGCCAGAGAAAACCCTCAGGAAAGAGTCACAGGTTCTGCATCTGGAAGGCTGTAGGGTTGGTATGCACATAAATAGTAAGGAGGGAGTCTGGGTGGAGCCCAACCATATCTGCTAAAGTAAGTGAGCAAATCAGAGCTAAGGAAAATAGATGAATCAGGGTGAGTTTAGTGTATAAAATGCATACCCTTAGGTCCTATAACACAGCAGTCCCTAACCTTTTTGGTACCTGGGACCAGTTTCGATGGAAGATAATTTTTCCATGGATGGGGGAGGAGGTGGGTTGTGTGGTTTCCAGATGAAAGTGTTCCATCTCAGTTCATCAGGCATTTGATTCTCATAAGGAGACCACAACCTAGATCCCCCACATGCACAGTTCATAATAGGGTTAATTCTCCTGTGAGAATCTAACGCCACCGCTGATCTGGCAGGAGGCTGGAGCTCAGGTGGTAAATACTCCCTCTCCCTCTGCTCACCTCTTGCTGTGCCAACTGGTTTCATAATACTAGTCTGTGGCCCAGGGTTTGGGGACCCCAGCTATAACACAAATATGTGCTTTTATCAGAGGCCAATAACATTAAGAAGATTTGTGAGAGAATATGTCTACCCACCCTGTCACTAACTTCTAAATGTTTCCCATAATATTCCCATAATAATCCTCAACAATCACATTGCCATCATGTCACTTCTTTATAGGAAAAGAGTTCTAGAAATTTACTGCCGTGAAGAGTGTACATCCTTTTACTCATACAAACTTACCTGTTTTAAAATTCAAGAGCTCTCCAGGATCTGGTAAGTAACTTCGTTTCTCCTGCCTGCACTCTGCATTTTTTGAGACTTTGAAGATATATTCTTTTCATTTACATCTTTTTAGACCGAAAACATTTTTAATTAGATTCTCACTCAGCAGTTTATTTTATGAATTATGGGAAGATGCTCGTGTAGACTTCTCACTGACCAATGTCATCAGCAGGGCTTCTCTTTGAGATTCATCTGCCCTTGACCCTGAACCCCTCAAACCAGCTCTGGCATGGACTCAGCAGGGAGAAGGACTTGGGTAACTGGCTCTTTAAAATGTGTTCTTCACACCACATAAAACTACAGGGTCTAGTTTTCAAATGATCCTTGCCAGTGGCATGCCCCCCTCATCAACAAAAGAAACCCTATCATACGAACATGAGTGAGGAAAATCAGATTTCACTTTGAAGAAAACATCACTCTTTCTGGCCCAGCATGTAAGGAGCTTCAAAGTCCCCACTCCTTTCAAACAACAAGTAAAAATTTGAACAGACTGAAAAATAAACAACTCTCAGATCTATCAGAGAAGTGAGCTCACCAGGCAATATACTGCCTCCCAAAATTGGAGGGATAGACAGAGAGGGTACAGAGAATCGAAATACTGGAGCAGAAACACAACACAAACAGAAACATCCACAGGAACCAGTAGCAGGGTAGAAAAACCTTGAACTGTAACTGACAAATTACTAGAGGCTTAGTGTGGACAAATCTGAGAGTTTAGAACTACAGGGGGAGTCCTATACTTTTGTAAGTCTTGCCTCCTGGTTCTCAAAGTGAATCAGAGAAAAATCCCTTGTGCTTCCAACACGGAGAGAGAAAATACAACAGAGCATTGAAATATGCCAGAGCATTCTGTTGTTAACAAGGCCTGCCCTCAAGAGAATCTACTTTATGAGAGCCTAAACTATTGGGGTTTTATTCGAGGCTAACCAAGCCTTGGGGAGGGAAATACCTACTCCAGCTGTCTCTAGCCACATTGTCCCACTAAGCAGTGGGGGAACTGAGAGGCACTTGTGAAATTCACAACCCAGGGGCACAGGCTCACTAAAAGACTGAGACCCAATCATAGGACCAGAGACCACTTTTCCTCCCTTAATACCAACTACCACATTACTGAAGGCCTATTTACCAGAGTTCTTTTTATCTGGTACATCATGTCTAGCTTTCAACAAAAAATTACAAGGCATACTAAAAGGCAAAAAACACAGTTTAAAAAGACAGAGCAAGCACTAGAACCAGACTCATAGAATTATCAGACTGTGAATTTAAAACAACTATGATTAATACACTAAGAGTTTTAATGGAAAAAGGAGACAGTATGCAGGAACAGACGGATAACATAGGCAGAAAGATGGAAGTGCTAAGAAAGAATAAAAAAGAAATGCCAAATATAAAAACAGTGTAACGAAATAAAGAATGCTTTTGATGGGCTCATTAGTAGACTGCATGTAGCTGAAGGAACAATCTCTGAGCTTGAGGATATATAAACAGAAACTTCCAAAACTGAAAAGCAATGAGAAAAAATATTTTTTAAAAAACAGAATATCCAAGAACTGTGGAACAACTACAAAATGTGAAACATACACATAATGGGAATATCAGAAGGAGAATAAAGAGAGCAAGGAACAGAAGCAATATTTGAAGGAATAATGACTGAGAATGTTGGATACCAAACCACAAATTCAGGAACCTTAGAGATACCTCAGAGAACACCAAACTGAATAAGTGCCCAAAAAAATATTTACACCTAGGCATATAATCTTCAGCTGCAGAAAATCAAAGGTAAGAAAAAAGATGAAAGAAGCCAGAGGAAAAAATTCCTTACCTATAGAGGAGTAAAGATAAGAATTATATCCAACTTCTCCTCAGAAACCATGCAAGCATAAAGAGAGTGAAGTGAAATATTTAAAATGTTGAGAAAAAAAAACACCACTAGCCTAGAATTCTCCATCCTGTGAAATTATCCTTCAAAAGTAAAGAAGAAATAAAGACTTTCTCAGATTAAAAAAAAAAAGGCTGTGTGTGGCAGCTCATGTCTGTAATCCCAGCACTTTGGAGGCTGAAGTAGGAGGATCACTTGAGGCCAGGAATTTGAGACCAGCCTGGGAAACATAGTGAGACCCTGTCTCTACAAAAAAATTTTTAAATTAGCCAGGAGTGGTGGTGCTCAACTATAGTCCCAGATACTCAAGAGGCTAAGATGGGAGATTCCCTTCAGCCCATGAGGTTGAGGCTACGGTGAGCTATGATTATGCCACTACACTCTAGCCTAGCCAACAGAGAAAGAAAAAAAAAGAAAAGAAAAGGAAAAGGAGAGAGAGAGAGAGAGAGAAAGGAAGGAAGGAAGGAAGGAAGGAAGGAAGGAAGGAAGGAAGGAAGGAAGGAAGGAAAGAAAAAAAATTCAGGGAATTTATAGCCAGTGGACCTGCCTTACAAGACATATTTTTAAAAGTTATTAAGAGGGAAGGAAAATTATATAAGTCAAACTAGGAACTGAATGAAGAAAACAAGAGTATTAGAGAAGGAATAAAGTAAAATAAAAACTTTTCTTTTTCTTATTCTTAATTGACCTAACAGATAACAGTTTGTTCAAAATAATAACAGCAACAATGCACTTGATTAGAAATTATGTTTAAGTAAAGTGAATGACAGCAATGGGATAAGAGGCATGAATTAGGAATATTTTATTATCATAAGGTACTTGCACTACCTGTGAAGTGTTATAGAGTTATTTGAAAGTAGACTTGGACTCATTGTTAATGTATATTGCAAATTCTAAGGCAACCACTGAAAGAAGTAAAAAAAGAAGTGTAATTGATGTGCTAAGAAAAGAAAGAAAATTGAATCATATAAAATGCTAAATTAAAACTACAAATGGCAGAAAAAAGAGTGGAAGACAAAAATAGGAACAAAGAACAAGGGCAATTAATAGCAAGCAGTAACAAATATGGTAGATATTAATCCAACAATATCAATAATTACTTTAAACATCAATAGTCAACATATGACAACTAAAAGATATTGCCAAAGTAGATTAAAAACAAGATCCAACATTATGTTGTCTACATGAATACCACTTAAATATAAAAATACATATAATTAAAAGTAAAGGGATGGAGAAAAATATATCACGCTAACACTAATCAAAAGAAAACTGGAGTAGCTATATTAATTTCAGACAGACCAGACTCCAGAGCTGAGGTAATTATCAGGGATAAAGAGGGTGCTGTAGACTGAACTGAATACCTCAAAATTTATATGTTGAAGTCTTAACCCCCAATGTGACTGTATTTAGAGATAAGGCCTATAAAGGAGGTACTTAAAGCTAAATGAGGTCTTAAGGAAGGGTGCCTGTTTTAATGGAATAAGTATCTTTATAAGAAGAGACACCAGAGATCTCATTCTCTCTCTACACACAAAAAGAGGTCATGTCAGCACACAGCAAGATGGCAGCCATTCAGCCAAGAAGAGAGGCCTTACTTGAAATGTATTATACTGGTACCCTGATCAGACTTCCAGCCTCCAGAACTGTGAGAAAATAAATGTGTGCTGTTTCAGCCACACGGTCCATAAGGGTATTTTGTTATTTGTTTTAGTTTTTGTTGAGATAGGCTCTCGCTTCATCACTCCAGCTAGAGTGCAGTGGCTCAACCACAGCTCACTGTAGACTATTGCTGGGCTCCAGCAGTCCTCCCATCTTGGCCTCCCAAGTAGCTGGAACTACAGGTACATGCCACCCACCACATCCAGCTATTTTTTTTTTATCTTTTTGAAGAGGCAGGGTCTCACTATATTGCCCAGGTTTGTCTCAAACTCCTGGCCTCAAGTGAACTACTCAACTTGACCTCCCAAAGTGCTGGGATTACAGGTGTGAGCCACTGTCCTCAGCCCTATGGTATTTTGTTAAGGCAGCCTGAGCTGACTAAGACACAGGGGCATTACATAATGATAAAGGGGTCAATTCTCCAGGAAGACATAATAATCCTTAATGTGTGTCTACCTAAAAACAGAGCATCAAAACATGTAAGGCAAAATCATCACACTGGAAGAGGAGAAATTGGTAAATCTATGATTATAGTTGGAGACTTCAACACCCCTCTATCAGAAAATGGTCAGATCCAGAATGCAGAAAAATCAATAAAGACATAGCTGAATTCAACAACACCATTAATAAAGTGAAGATAATGAATATCTGTAGACTACTTCATCCAACAACAGAAGAATATGTATTCTTCTCAAGTTCACATGGAACATACACCAAGATATACCACATTCTGGACCATAAAACACACCTTAAATTTTAAGGAATAGAAATCATACAATGTATGCTCTTAAACTACAATGGAATTTAACTAGAAAATGATGATAGAAAGCTGGAGAATCCCAAAATGCTTGCAGATTAAGCAACACACTTCCAAATTACGCATGGGTCAAAGAATAAATCTCAAGAGAAGTTTAAAAATATTTGGAACTAAGTGAAATAGAAAATAAAATATATCAAAATTTGTGGTATGCAGTGAAAGCAGCACTTAGAGGAAAATTTATAGCATTGAATGCACATATTAGAAAGGAAAAAAGATCTAAAATCGATCATCAAGCTTATACCTTAGGAAACTAGAAAAAAAGAGCAAATTAAATCCAAAGAGAGAATAAAAATTAGAGCAGAAATCAATAACACTGAAAATAGGAAATCAATAGAGAATGTCAACAAAACCAAAAGCTGTTTCCTTGAAAAGATAAAAATTAATAAGCCTCTAGCCTGGCTAACTAAGAAAAAAAGAGATGACACAAATTACTAATATCAAAAATGATTTCTGCTGCCTTGTAACTTCTAAAATTTAACAGACTGGGCTCTTGTCATCAGGCCAGCAGAAAGAACTGTAGAAATGTAAGGATTTCCATTGTCAATTTGATGTATATAGACCTCTCTTCATTTTTGTTGCTTGTGAATTTTGTCCCTGGAGATTTGCTGACTTGACATGAGATAATTATGATATTTACATAACCCTGTTTTTATCATGCAGTTCAAGTTTTATAATTGCCCTTTTAAATATTATGCCTACTGAATCTGTTTCTTTCTGACAGAGCGTACCAAGTGTTCTAATGTAAATTTGTTAATTACTTCTTATGTTCCTTCAGATTTAATGCATTAAATTTCTTGGCTGTATTGTACTTCCAAAAAAAAAAAAAAGAAAGAAAAGAAAAAAAGGAAGACAGGACATCAGTACAGATCCCATGGACATTGAAACAATAATAAAGGAATATTATGAACAACTCTATGCCCACAAATTTAATAACCTAGATGAAATAGGCTAATTTTTTAAAAGACACAATCTGCCAAAACTCAAACAAGAAGAAACAGACAATCTGAATAGGCCTATATCTATTAAAGGAATTGAATCAATTTTAATAACCTTCCAAAACAAAAAGCACAAGGCCCAGATGGGTTCATTGGTGAATTCCTCCAAACATTTAAGGAAGAAATTATACTAATTCTCTACAATCTCTTTCAGAAGACAGAAGAAGAGGGACTATTTCCTAACTCATTGTATTAATATAAGGCCAGCATTACCCTAATTGCAAAATCTAAAAAAGACTTTAGAAGAAAACTATAGATCAATATCTCTCATGAACATGGATGCAATCCTCAAGAAAATTTTAGCAAATCAAATCCAACAAGTATAAAAAGAATTACATATTACAACCAAGTGGCATTTATCCTAGGTATGCAAGGCTAGTGCAATGTTTGAGAATTAAATAATGTAATCCATCATATATGATATCAACAGGCTAAAGGAGAAAAATCACATATCATATCAACAGGTGCAAAAAAAATCTGACAAAATCCAACATCTATTCATGATAAAAAGTCACAGGAAATAGCAATAGAGGATAACTTCCTCAACTTGATAAAGAACATTTACAAAAAACCTATGGCTAACATCATACTTAATGGTAACAAACTAAAAGCTTTCCCACAAAAATCAGGAACAAGGCAATGATGTTCCCTCTCACCACTTCTTTTCAACATAAAACTAGACAACCTAGCTAACGCAATAAGACAAGAAAACAAAAGTATACACATTGGGAAGGAAGAAATACAACTGTCTTTGTGCACATGACTTAGACATTATTGTCTACATAGACATTCTGAAATAATTGATTTTTAAAACTCCTTCAACTAATAAACAATTATAGCAAGATTGCAAGATACAAGGCTAACATACAAAAGCCAATCACTTTTCTATATACCAGCAATAAACAAGTAGAATTTGAAGTTAAAAATATAATATCTTTTGTATTAGCACCACCTCCAAAATGAAATACTTTATGTATAAACCTAACAAAATTTATACAAGATCTACATGAGGAAAACTACAAAACTCTGGTGAAAGAAATCAAAGAACTAAATAAATGTAGAGATATTCCATGTTTACGGACAGGGAGTCTCAATATTGTTAAGACGTCAGTTCTTTCCAATTTAATCTATAGATTCAGCACAATTCCAGTCAACATCTTGTGAGGTTATTTTATAGATACCAACAAACTGATTCTAAACTTCCTTTGGAGGGACAAGAGAACTAGAATAGCCAACACATTATTGAAAAAAAAGAACAAAGTTTGACGATTGACACTACCCAACTTCAAGACTTACTATAAAGCTACGGTAACCAAGACAGTGTGTTATTGACAAAAGAATAGCAAATAGATCAATGAAACAGAATAGAGAGCCCAGAAATCAACTTACATAAATATAGTCAATTGATCTTTTTTTACAAAGGAGCAAAGGCAGTACAATGGATAAAGCTTTTTAATATATGAAACAACTGGACAGCTACACATAAAATATAGACTTTACACCCTTCACAAAAAATTAACTCAAAATTCAGATCATAGGCCTAAATGTAAAGCGCGAAACTATAAAACTCCTAAAAGATAGCATAGAACATCTAAATGACCTGAGATATAGTTATGACTTTTTAGTTATAATACCAGAGGCACGATCTATGAAAGAAATAATTGATAAGCTGGAATTCATTAAAAGTAAAAACTTCTATTCTGCTGAAGACAGTATCAAGATAATTAGAATACTAGCTACAGACTGGCAGAAAATGTTTGCAAAAGACGTATCTGATAAAAAGTTGTTATCCAAAATATGCCAAGAATTCTTAAAACTCAACAGTAAGAAAATGAAGAACCAGGCCAGGCGTGGTGGCTCACGCCTGTAATCCCAGCACTTTGGGAGGCCGAGATGTGTGGATCATGAGGCCAAGAGATAAAGACCATCCTGGCCAACATGGTGAAACCACACCTCTACTAAAAATACAAAAATTAACTGGGTATGGTGGCGTGTGCCTGTAGTCCCAGCTACTTGGGAGGCTGAGGCAGGAGAATCACTTGAACATGGGAGGCAGAGGTTGCAGTGAGCCAAGATCACGCCACTACACTCCAGCCTGGGCAACAGAGCAAGACTCTGTCCCCACCCCCAAAAAAGTGAAGAACCCAATTTAAAAATCAGCAGAAGATCTGAACAGCCATATTACCAAAGAAGATAAACAGATGGGAAAAAAAAGCACAAGAAAAGATGCTCTGCTTCACATGTCATCAGAAAACTACAAATTGAAACAATGAGATACCTCTACACACCTATTAGAATGGCCAAAATCCAGAATCCTGACAACACCAATTCTGTGGAGCAATAGGAACTCTTCAATCATGGCTGGTAGGAATGCAAAATGGTATAGCCATTTTGCAACACAGTTTGACAGCTTCTTACAAAACTAAATATACTCTTGTCATACAGTCCAGCAATTGCAATCCTTAGTATTTACCCAAATGAGTTGAAAACTTATGTCCACACAAAAATCTGCACATGGATGTTTATAGCAACTTTATTCATAATTGCCAAAACTTGGAAGCAACCAACCAAGATGTCCTTCAATAAGTGAATGGATAAATAAACTGTGGGACATCCAGACAATGGAATATTTACAGTGCTAAAACGAAAAGAGCTATCAAGCCATGAGAAGGCATGGAGGAAACTTAGATACATATTTATTATAGCCTTTTCAGATGTATAGTTATATCTGTATAATTCCAGCTATATAACATGGAAAAGGTAAAACTGTGCAGACAATAAAAAGGTCGGTGATTGCTAGAGGTTGCTAAGAGGAGTGGGAATTAATAGGAAGGGCACAGAGGATTTTTAGGGCAGTGAAACTATTCTACATGATACTCTAATCGTGAATACAAGTCATTATACACGTGTCAAAACCCATAGAATGTACAATACCAAGAGTGAACCCTAATGTAAACTATGGACTTTGGGTGTTAATGATTTATCAATGTAGGTTCATCAATTGTAACAAATGTACCACTCTGGTGGGGGATGTTGATAGTGGGAGAGGCTGTGCATTTGAGGGCAGGCAGGGGGACAGGGAAAATATGGGAACTCTGTATTTTCTGCTCACTTTTACTATGAACCTAAAACAGTTGTAAAAAGTAAAGTTTATTTAAAGGGAAAAAGAAAAAACATCACTGATTTTAGCTGAATGGAGATTATTACAAAGCATTTCTGCCCTCTGAAAGCTAATAAGAATACACAGTTCTAGAAAGGATGCCCTACATAATAGGATCTTACACTGGAATCCATGACCAAACTCCATGAAAATATATGCAATGTGTGAGCGTGTGTGTGTGTGTGTGTTTTCAAACATGCCTTTCTTCCCCTGGGAGGAACTCCAAACCTTTCATCATGATTCTTAGTGGTTGATCACTATCCCCTTCCCAAAATTTTAAGGCTCTCAGGCCTACAACAATCAGCTCTGAGTATCTGCTTCTGACACCTTTCATTTTTTTCCCAGTGGCTGATACACAGTCAGCAAATGATGCAGTAGCAAGATCCCTCCCCAGCTTCACAAAAGAAATGCAGCTTGTGGGCTGCCTGCCATGCTTGGATGTCAGCTGATTATCCATGACTGATAATCGGCTCACATCCCTTCAAGGGAGAAGCTGCCATGTGCTTCGTGTCCAGAGATGCAGAGGAAACACACTGTGACATCAGGAATAGCACGTTCCCAGACACAGACATGGCCAGTTGAAGGACATACCCACATCCCCTACCCCCAGGAGAAAAGAGAAGGCAGGGGAAAATGTATAGCATATACTTATAATTACCAATATGGTTATAGCTATGCCTATCTCTCCTTCAACTGCTTGACTTTTCCATCTGAAGTCTAACCTAAAACTATTTTTAAATCAAGAAACAGGCCAGGCGCAGTAGGTCATGCCTGTAATCCCAACGATTTGGGAGGCCGTGGCAGGCAGATCACTTGAGGTCAGGAGTTTGAGAACAGCCTGGCCAATATGGTGAAACCCTGTCTCTACTAAAAATACAAAAATTAGCCGAGCATGGTGGCAGGTGCCTGTAATCCCAGCTACTCAGGAGGCTGAGGCAGGAGAATCACTTGAACCTAGGAGGCAGAGGTTGCAGTGAACCCAGGAGATCACACCATTGAACTCCAGCCTGGGCGACAAGAGCGAGACTTCGTCTCAAAAAAAAAAAAAAAACAACTTCAATGTACTTGTGTGATTTCCTATTCCTGCTACAAAGTAAATACAGATAATAAGAAAATTCTTCACTTATAATAGAGATTATAAGTGAAGTCTGAAATTTTAGTGCACCCAACTGGGTGCGGTGGCTCACGCCTGTAATCCTAGCACTTTGGGAGGCCGAGACTGGTGGGTCACTTGAGGTCAGGAGTTCGACCAGCCTGGCCAGCAGGGTGAAACCCCATCTCTACTAATAATACAAAATTTAGCTGGGTGTGGTGGTGCATGCCTGAAGCCCCAGATACTTGGGAAGCTGAGGCAGGAGAATCACTTCAACCTGGGAAGCAGAGGTTGCAGGGAGCTGAGATCGCACCACTGCACTACATCCTGGGCAACAAAGTGAGACTCTGTCTCAAAAAAAAAAAAAGAAAAAGAAAAAAAAGAAAGGAAGAAAATTCTGAGGGAAAATCTATTTTCTCCCACTCTCTCCCTTGGAGAGGACATCCACTCCTCCCCATCAGGTCACCAGCCTTCCTACCCCACAGCTCCAAGTCAACAGTTCCACCATTTGCTTTTGTAATCAGATTTGACATATCGATTGTCTTCTTATCTTTGACTTTCTCACTCTTCACACCTCCTCATCTAGCCAGTCCCCAGGTCCTCTCAGTGTTCCCATAGCCACAATTATTACATCTGATTATTCCTTTCTTCCAGCCCTGGAATGGCCCAGAGGACTCAACACAATAACGCCAATGACATTTTCTAACCCCATTAGTTTATCCCATCGCTTTTCCTGACAATAACTACTTCTCTTTTATTCAAAAATAGAAAATATTAAGTCCTTATGGCGTACCTCAGTAAGGTGTAGGAACTTTAACACAACTCTGTGATATAAGTGTCATCTTCCTTCTCACAGAACAGACTACTGAAGCTCTCTTCACAGAAATTCTAAGTTGCTGCGATCACCAGAGATAAAATGATGAGAAAAAGAGGTGCACAGATTCTATTGAAGGTACCCTTCATGAGTGTCCTTATGTCCTGCCTACATGCCGATGTACAGCAGGAAATCTGAGTGGACCCACAGAACTCCTGCCCCATGATAACCCTCCAGTACTGACACATTCAGACAGACAAGGCACATACCCTGGTGAAGGTAGAACACAGCCGAGAAGTCCACTTGACTTTGTCTTGGGACAGGCCCCAAAGATTGGCAAACCCTCTCTCTACTTTGACCTATGGTCTATAAGTGAGGGGTTATAGCTCTTTCATTATTTCTTAAAACTTGAAAGAAATGGTTCATTCTTCTCAATAAAACCACATTGGTCAAAGTACATATGCCTTTTGCTGGCATTATCCCTGCTCCCTGGGGTAACAGGGGTTTACTCCTACTTATCTGAGCCTCTGGTTGGTAGCAATATAGACTTCTGATAAACAAAAGATTAAGAAACATGTTAAGCATACTTAATAATATAATTTTACACGTGAGAAAAAACTCTCAGAAAAAAAATTCACAAAGTCCTTCAGAGTGACAAGAGGTAAAATCACTGGTCCTGATCATTTCTGGCCATTTTATTTACCGATCCTTGTCAATATCAGCTTCATGACCAGCACAGCCATCCTAGCGCCTTCTGTTTGGCCTGACCAGGTGTTAGGCTGACCCTTACTACAGCCTGCCCTTTGGTTGCTGGCGTTACCAGTGAGCAATGCTAGCACAGCCAGACCGCTGGCCCTGTGTGGTCAGCACTCCCAGCTGCAGCCCCTGCTACAAAGACCTCAGGACAACAGCCAAACCTGTGGCCCAAGGGGCAGTGAAAACGGGAGTTCAGAACACCTATGTCTGCCACTGCTGGGGCACAGAAACAATACCCCAAAGTACAGCGCTTTGGCTTGCTGAACACTTTTGGATTAAAGGAAACTGGAAGGCCTTAGAAGGTTTCACTTGTTTCTCCTTGAACCCCTTCCCCACCACCACCAAGCACAGAGAGCGGTTCTCTCTGGAGGTTCCCTCATCTGACTGGGGAATGCAAGAATACCAAATACCACATGTTCTCACTTACAAGTAGGAGCTAAATGATGAAAAGTTATGAACACAAAGAAGGAAACAACAGACACAGGGGTCTACTTGAGGGTGGAGAGTGGGAGGAGGGAGAGCAGCAGAAAAGACAACAGTTGGGTACTGGGCTTAGTACCTGGGTGATGAAATAATCTGTACAACAAATCCTGTGACATGAGTGTACCTATGTAACAAACCTTCACTTGTACCCCCGAACCTAAAAGTTTTTTAAAAAACAGGCCAGGCGCAGCAGCTCACCCGTGTAATCCCAGCACTTTGGGAGGCTGAGGCAGACAGATCACTTGAGGCCAGGAGTTCGAGACCAGCATGGCCAACATGGCAAAACCCCATCTCTACTAACAATACAAAAATTAGCCGGGCATGGTGGCGCAGGCTTGTGATCCCAGCTACTTGGGAAGCTGAGGCAGGAGAATCGCCTGAACTCACGGGGCGGAGGCTGCAATGAACCGAGATGGCGCCCTGCACTCCAGCCTGGGTGACAGAGCAAAACCCTGTCTCAAAAAAAAATAAATAAATAATAAAAATAAAAAATAAACAAAAACAAAAGAAATACAATTGTCTTAAGACTCCATTTCCAGAAATCCCATCAAATAACCAGGAAAGATTAACTACTGGAAAAGAGGAGAGACTAAATAAAAGTCATCACCACACCCAGACAGACTTTCTATCTATTCTTCTGTAGGCAGTTCTGAGAGATTACTGAAAAGATTTTACATGTGTAATAAGATAACCTTTGTTCACAGTGCTCCAAACCTTCCCGTAACTTGTTCTGTTCAGCTTTCAAAGGGGATCATTTACAAACTACTGTCTGCTCTTTGGGCTCATTTGATTCCCCTGAAAATCATTTGCTATGCCTCAAAATTGTCTACACCCCCATTTCCCTGTCCCTGATGAAGAGGGTGCTATTTTAAGCCTCAGCTATCTGGCCCTTCTTTGAGTCTCATATCTGTGGGACTCCTGTGTCCATGTGCATATTAATAAATTTGTATGCTTTTTCTCCTGTTAATCTATCGTGTTTGTTTAGCAGACTTGAACCTGCAGGAGCGTGGAGGGTATTTTCGTCCCTACACCTTTTTCATGAAGTAAAAGACAAACCAGTAGATTGTATAGCCCTTACAAGTTGTCCTTCCAAGGAATGAAGGGAGCTAATTTGCACTGCAGCAAGGAGAGACAAATAGCATGGCAGTCACCTAAGAAACATAAAATACTTTACACAGACAAAATAACCATGCAGGATATGAGTTGCCAGTCACAAATTACACACTTTAAAATTGTCATAGTAAATATTTATTCAATATAAAAATTATCTTTTGATAGGCCACAAGACACCGGGCACATCAAGGTGATTAAGGAGGACACAGTCTGGCCGGGCGCGGTGGCTCACGCCTGTAATCCTAGCACTTTGGGAGGCCGAGGCAGGCGGATCAAGAGGTCAGGAGTTCGAGACCAGCCTGACCAACACAGTGAAACCCCACCTCCACTAACAATACAAAAATTAGCCGGGCGTGGTGGCGGGCACCTATAGTCCCAGCTACTCGGGAGGCTGAGGCAGGAGAATGGTGTGAACCCAGGAGGCGGAGGTTGCAGTGAGCCAAGTTGCGCCACTGCACTCCGGCCTGGGCAACAGAGTGAGACTCCGTCTCAAAAAAAAAAAAAAAAAGGAATGAAATAGGTTAATATGTGTAAAGTGTTTAGAATCACATATTGCATGTAGCAAACGCAGTGTGAGAGATGGCTGCCAAGATCATTACCATGGAGGATCCAAGAGGTCAGGGTGAAGTATTTGTTCAGTTTGGACAGAGAGCCAGGAAAGCTCTCTGAGCTGTAACAGGAAAAAATTGGAACTGGACTTTAAGACAATGAGTCTGGCATGAGGTAAGGGAGGGAATGAAATGGGAATGGCAGTTGGGAATTGGGGAAGTGAACATGGGCTCCAGGCTGTGGCAGAGGGAGTTCTCCCCCTGAAGATAATGTGGGCAGCTTCCAAGGGCTCCTTAGCATTCGGGTGGCTACACCCCTTAAGGCTCCTACTCTTCGCTCAAACCACATGATTAGAATGTAAAGGACCATGAAAAGGGTTTAATATCTGTGACAGGAAAAGCTGCTCTCCAAAGAGTGGAACGTAACTCTTGATATATCAAAAGGAAAACCGACCTCTAAAAGCTTCCAGTTTTCTTTCTGTGTCCTGAACTAAGACTGAAAGGAAGCTAAGGATGTCTTGTTTAAAAGGACATACAGGTCTTCACAAAAAGAGAACAGACACTTCCCTCTTCGGAAGGTGTTGAGCGTTACTTTAAAATTCCCTTCTAAAGGCTTGTCCCAAAATCTATGTTCTTACTGTGTGCTACTTCCATAAGATAAAATAACAGTGATCCTTCTTAAAACGCAAAATATCACCTGTCCCATACAAATTTAATATGGCAACAAGAGTAACGTATTCCATTAACCAGAAGCCAGTCACTAATGAGGCCCCAAAGGACAGCTGGATTTGACTGAGACCCTAGAGGACAAATTGATCTAGAGCTCTGAATGAGATGCTGGCATGGGTGAGGGTCCAAGCAAAAGCACAGGACAGGGAGAATGTGAGAAGGAAGCCACATAAAGGAAGCAGATGCAGAAAGGAGAATAAAGCAGCTTAGGGAATATATTTGCCAATCTCAAAATTTTGTTGTAAACCAGTCCTGCCCTGACATGTCTGATGAAACTTACATCTGCCACCAAACCAGAAAACCTTGGTCCTCAGTGCCACCTGACTTAACGCTCTCTCCTCTTAGCTGCATGTACACCCCTGCCAGGGACCACTACTCACTCATTTTCCCCAGGAAAAAGGAAAATGAGAGAATGTTTACAGTTTTTATAGTTTTAACCCTCAGTGGTTTCAGATGATCTGAAGGGAGCAAGTGTCACCCCTTCCATGCAGCCCAAAGATGCCATGAAAATATCAATGTCTAGGCTCCCTACATTTCATGAGAAGAGTGTGACACGCTGATCTACATGGCCAGAATGAGTAAAAACACAGGTACAGAACAAAGACATGACTTTAAGCTGACCTACAGAGCAGTTGGTTGTTAATCACTCCAGGAATTAAATTAAAAGAGCTTCTCTCTGGTTCTGTAACGGGGACAGCAGTGCCAAAGAACTCTTTGCGGGATGCAGTAAACTTCTTTCCTTCCAGCCAATAGGTGACCATTTCCCTTTTTCCCAGGGAGGAAAACCACAAGTGTTAATTAGGGGAGAAATAGCCAATTCAGCCAGAAAGGGAGCCATCTGGAGATAGACCCATCAACTCATTGGACATGACAGGGCACATCCTCAAGTCTGCCCAGGGAAATCCTGGGGTCCCAAGGGACTGGCATCCCCAAGAGACAGCTCTTAAATTGGTTTCCCATTTGCTGCTGAGTGCACACCCTGCATTCAGGGCAGAGACCACTGCTTCATGGCACCTGGAGACACAGGCAGATTGAGTCAGTCACCGGCACACACTCACCTGTGCTGCCATGGCTAACAAATCCCACATGTACTGCCAAGCTGGGAGGGGAGACACAAACTTGGGCTCTGCAGCTACTTAGCCCTTCTGACAAAGCTAAAAGAGTATAATGACCCGGCAATTCTGAAGAATAACGTCTTTTCAGGACAGTGACTAAACAGGCATATCGCCACATGAAAAATTAGTGCCCTTCCAACAACTGTGGATCAGTCACAGCCTCCTCCCAGCACCGGGGTCAGAATTTCTGCCTCTCATTTACATGGAAACTGGAATTTGAAAGCTGTCACTCCAGATTCGCTCTGATACACTCTGCAAGAGAAAACATTACCTGCTTGTATTTGCTGACCAGATTCAATCAAATTAATTGTAATTCATTTCAATAAACACTCATGCGGCCAGAGCCCTGTGCAAAACAAGTTTCAGAGTTAAGAGTGTGGTGCTTTTCCTGGGATTTTCTATGTAGGTTACCATGGTACTCTCTCTGAACAGATTTCATATTTAAAATATACAAAAATACCACAGAAACTATTTGGGCAATGTCTGGAGGGAACCGCCCACAACTAATGCACATGCATCTCACATTATTTTATAGCTGGTTAGATTGGCTTGCAGCAGACCTGGTTTCTTTATTCTTTTTCTAAGTCACACAATTATTATTTCTGTGACTTTCCATCTGAGGAAACTGGAGCAGAGTGAAGGGGTCCAGTCACACCACAGCTAGTGTGAGCTGAGAAAGAATCAGGCTCTGGTGGCAGGAGAGCCAGGACTACCCCCCGTCCACTGCATCTGCCCCATGGATGGATCGAGCACAGGGGGGTCTGAAAATCTCTACCACCTTCAGCTCGCATTCGCTCCACCTTCTGTCCCAGGTGTAGTGAATTTCAATTACTTTCATATAGTTAATTTCATTGCCTTTTCTAGGGATTGATCCTCTTTTAAAATAATGACACCTTACAAGGGAAGCACCCCGGGAGTACCTCACTGGGAAGAGTTCATAAATGGATTTCTTCTATTATAGGAGGAATGTCAAGCACTGGGAGAAGATTGGGTTGAGTGGCTGGAAATGAGAAGGATGCTGAAATTAGGGGGAAGAATTTGGAAAGAGAATGTGGAAAAAAAACAGACATATTTTGCCTGTTGCACAGTTTTTCCAAGGATTGTTGTCCCTTCCTCTCTTTTCTCTTCCTCATCCCCAAGAAGGAACATCTTAAGAGATGTCCTATCTGCTCATAAAGGTCTGGGGATGAAAAAAATACATATTCTTTATGAGCCAAAACAAACCAGCCCTATGTTGCCCAGGCTGGTCTCAAACTCCTAGGCTCAAGCAATCCTCCCGCCTCAGCCTCCTGAGTAGTGAAAATCAAAGAATTTCCAGTTTTGTTTGGGACTTTTTCACCTGTAGCAGAGACATAATATGCAATGCTGCAAATTTTTATCACGAGTTTACTGGGCACAGTGACTCTTAGGACTTTAATGGTGAGAGTTCCCTTGTAGTGCTTCTCTCCCATGCCTGCCTCCACACATACAGGTGGCCAATATATACCTTGACTTGTAAATTCCTAAGACATACCAGTATGTAGTCTCCAATTTGCTCCAAGATTTGATATGCACTTGAACTACACTGGATTTTCAGAGCTGGAGGACAGAAGAGGAAATAACACAGTTACATAAGTCCAGGCAACATCCCTTGCTTTTGCCTTGCCCTGAAAAACTGAGCAACTCTGAAACATGACCAAGAAAATTCAACTTCAAGAATCTCACCTAGCGAAGAGGTATCCCAGAGCACATCCCAGCAAACATCCCCCAAGTGCTTCACATATAATAATAAGCTCTACCTGATTAGCTTTTCCCATCACAGTTACGTGGCAGGGGCTGCTGACCTGGGGAAAAAATCTTGTATATTCTAGAGAAAAGTTGGTGTCCACTCTTACTTTTGGACAGTTTTTCAGGGATATCTGCCCCTTCTTATCACATACCTCCCTCAAGCAGCCAGCCTTTGGCTACCTGAGAGAAAAGCAGTCAGAGCAAGGTAAAGATATGAAGCCTCCTGAAAACTCTGCACTCTCATTCTAACCGTTTCTTAGAGCCAAGATGGTGGGTCTGCCTTGTCAGGTGCATCCCACATCATGATTTTTTTTTTTTCGAGACAGAGTCTTGCTCTGTTGCCAGGCTGGAGTGCAATGGCACAATCTCGGCTCACTGCAACCTCTGCCTCCCAGGTTCAAGCGATTCTCCTGCCTCAGCCTCCTGAGTAGCTGGGATTACAGACACGCACCACCACACCTGGCTAATTTTTTTTTGTATTCTTTAGTAGAGATGGGGTTTCACCATGTTGACCAGGCTGGTCTCGAACTCCTGACCTTGTGATCCGCCCACCTCGGCCTCCCAAAGTGCTGGGATTACAGGAGTAAGCCACCATACCTGGCCCACATCATGATTTTTGCCACAGCCATACACTCACCTGAGCTATTATTGAGTTAACATCTTTCTTTAAGTGGCCTCAATTAATCTTTTTAATAAAGAGTAGGAAAACTTAGAGAGTCAAAAGAAAGCATCTTACTACCAAAGTAATTCCCATTTTTCCCTGACAATCAGAAGCACTGAAAGAAAACAGAAAAACAAACAACTTTCTCATGATGTGACTTAATGGTAAGCTCTTGTCTCTTGACCATCTAACATCACCTACTGGCGGATCCAAAGGTAGTGAGTTATCTCAATTGATTGTTCACAGTCAGTTACAGATCAAACTCCTTGTTCTATGCTTTCCCCTCTTCCCATTACTGCACTAAGAATAAATAAATATTAATAAGTAAATAAATAAAATCACCTAGTAGTATGACCTTGTGTTTGGGGGTGAGGGGCTCTAGGAAAAGCCCAAGCTCCCTCTCCCACACCTGCACATGCATACAGATGCACACATCCACACCCCACCTTCCACACACGTGTCACCATGGAGAAACTTGGATCCATCATCAAGTGCCCCACGCTGGGCCATAGCTGTCAACAGAGATTGGGAGCTTGGATGGTTAAACCAAAAGGATTAAGTCTAATGTCACATGGCGCCCTTCCTAGATCTCTTCCAGATCGTCCCTCCTCCTTCACTTCTTCCCACTCCACTGGGTGGTCAGATAGCCCAGAGGCTGCCTCCCACTTACTGGGCTCCCAGCTCCCACACTCAACCCTCGGAAAAAACAAAACTGGGGGACCCGGAGGAGGTATGGAGAGAACAGCTGAAGCTAGCCTGTTTGGGGCCTCCAAGAAAAGAATTCTGAGCTCTGTATAGGTCTTTTGGACCTTCTTTCATCTGGAGCCTTAGGATGCTGGAGTGGATCCTAAGGAGCCTTGAGCTGCGGGGCAGAGGAACTTCTCTTGCTCAGAAGTGGTTCTGCTCAGTCAGCAGGATCTGAATGTCATTTCCTCTGACAGTCAACCCTAAACCTTGTTAACAAGTGACAACACTGAGTGGCCAACCCTGTGTTTTTATTACCCTGCCCACCTAATTAAGCTTCATTAAGCTGGAAAGAGGCAACATTTGGATAATGCCAACCAGAATAATTGTTCTGTGAATAATTGTATTAATTATATAAGCCAATCATGACTGAACAAAAATAATGGAAAGTATATTACTTCCAATAAGGCAAGTAATAAACTTGAAACAGCACTTGCCATTTTTAAAATTTTTATACTAAAATTCTCTTTTGAAGCTCCATAAAGACATTATATCATATTAATAGTTATTACCATTTGTTGGCCCTGACATATATACCAAGTACTGTGCTAAGATTCTAATAAGTCTACTATGTCATTTTACCCTTATAGCTTCCCTAAGAGGTAGTTAGACTCACCCCCATTGTATGCGTTAGGTAACCGAGGCTAAGGGAAGCTAAATACATGCCCAGGAGAACAGAAATTTATAAATTGCAGAGCCAGGATCCCAAAATCCCGTGCCTTAAACAGTTCAATAATATCACCCTAGATCCTAAACTACTTCCCCTCATACACATGAATCATGGAAAGCAGAAAATGAGAGAGCTTAAATACCATTGTCTATAGAACAGAGGATACATTTGCCTTATTTTGAGCTTTTACCAACCCAGTAGAGGTTTAGAGAAAAGACTTTTAGTTTAATTCTAATCTTTTGCTACTTGAGTCTTTTACTTTTAGGTAAAGAGCCTCCATTAATGAATGAAAGTGGTTTTTAAAAGGGCATGGCTTAGGACATTTGAGTATCTTTTTTGGTTTTAAGTAACACAAATAACCTGGTTGGTAATGCATCATAACCAGAAATCCAAATGGAAATTTTCCACTTGGTGGCCGGCTTTTGAAAGATGGCCTCAATGTTCCCCTCAGCGTGACAAACTTTACACAGCTTTCTCTGACCTCCCCTTCTTAGAGCACTTATTTTAGAAAACTTTCAATTGTAAATTATTTCTGATCCTTTGAGATGTACATCTTCTCCTAGCCTCTTGCCACTTTTGTAACCCAGGAATATCGTTCTTAAGGATCTGGGAGCCATCCTTTGAAATGTAATTATCAAGAAAGACAGTGCCCCTATCTCCCAGACTTTGTAGGAGACTAAAAACCTAACTTCAATAAAGACCAACTAGGAAACACTGATGGCCTAATTACATTGACCAACTTACTCCCCAACATACTCTAGTACTTTTCCACTAGCTCACCCAGAGCTTTAAAAATGCTCCCTCTCTTGTTTTAGTGGAGTTGAGTTCAATCCCTCTCCTCTATCGCAATCATCTTGAATAGCCTTCCTTGACTATCTAACTCCATCTGGTGCCATTTTTCTTCGATTTACTGTAACCCATGCCAACACATCTTCTCACTACTGGTGACGACTGTGTGCTTGTAGCAACCCGGGGACTGCAGATGCTCTTATAAGATGATGAGGTGGAAATGAGTGCTTGTGGGTTTGGGGGCCATTTCTGATCCATGTCTTCTACTCCCCTGTGATCAGCTAGCAGGGAGGCTATAGGGAAATCATCCCAATACTGGCAAAAATCACCACATTCAGCCTGGCTCAGACCTCCACCTGTACCCATCCCCCTATCACCAGGGCTACTTTCCACTCTTTGGAGCATCACTTAGGTTCACATGAACTTCTTCAGGGAAGTAAATGCCCCCTGAACTGAACTCAAGTAGAACACACCTGGAAATGTTTGGGACTGTGATGGTTAATATTAAGTGTCAACTTGACTGGATAGAAGGATGCGAAGTATTGTTTCTGAGTGTATCTGGGTGCTTCTGGGTGTTGCCAGAAGAGATTAACATTTGAGTCAGTGGACTGGGAGAAGAAGACCCACCCTCAGGAAGACCCACCCACCCCGTGGATGGCCACCATCCAATTAGCTGCCAGTACAGCTAGAAAAAGCAGGCAGAAGAAGGTGGAAGAATCTGACTTGCTGGGTCTTCCAGACTTCATCTTTCTCCCGTGCTGGATGCTTCCTGCTCTTGAATATCAGACTCCAAGTTCTTTGGCTTTTGGACTCTTGGACTTACACCAGTGGTTTGTCAGGGGCTCTTGGGCCTTTGGCAACAGACTGAAGGCTGCACTGTTGGCTTCCCTACTTTTGAGCTTTTGGCACTTGGACTGGGCCACTACTGGCTTCCTTGCTCCTCAACTTGCAGATGGCCTATCATGGGACTTCACCTTGTGATCGTGTGAGTCAATTCTGCTTAATAAACTCCCTTTCATATACGCATACATTCTATTAGCTCTGTCACTCTGGAGAACCCTGACTAATACAGGGACCCTACTATCTTGAAGACCATGAAGAATGTGCAGATCACAATCAGCTCACTGAAACAATAACCTTATATTTCACAAAATTTCCATCCAGCTTGCACTGTCTTCTGTGCAGAGCCCCGGTGATGTTTCCCCCTCCCCTGAATCCTCCCCCTCCTCATCAAGCAGTGCAAGTTCTCATCTAAGCAGTTGTGATGTTAATGCCCTGTATTGGACCTATTTTGATTCGACAAATAGAAAGTTAAAAGAAAAAAGGTTTTAAGGGTTTTTTTTTAGAAAGCAGCAGACAGAGGAATTACCACATAATTTGATGTGTGGCTGTGATCTGAGAGACCAAAATAAAAGCTCTTTTATTGACTAAGATGAATCCTAAGGTTAAAGAAACAGAAGTTACCCATGGGTTGAGGGTTCAGGGATCAGCTGGCATGGCAACTTCCTAAATTTCTACAGCTATAAGGAGAACCATATTCTTGCTAAACTCTATAACTAGGAGCTACTGTGAAAATTATCAGCTGATTGACAACCCAGACCACTACAATGCTGATTGGACAGAAGAACAGCCCTACAAACATTCTTTCCTGATAAGCAACTGCAGACCTTAAGCCAATTTCAGCAGCTTATAGAGACTCCACACAAACTGTCTTTGTGTCCTATAGTTCACCTTTTGATGTAAAGAGCCAAATTTCACCTCATTTTAACGCTAAAACCTGGCCCCAAAGTGAACATGCGATGTATGTTATATATACATTTGCCCATTGAACATGCATTCCACTCCCCCCATAAATACGTATAACCTTTCCCCAAAACCTCTATTGTGTGATGCAGGCCCTGTGAGGAATAAAACCCAACCTACCCTTTCCCTCTTTGAAGAGAGAGCACCTTCAGTCCACACGCGAGACTGCCCCTTCCCAGTGTGCAAACTGATATCACCAATAAAACTCTCTTTTCTGTTATTTAGCCATCCTGGTGGTCTTTTGGACAACATGGGAAAGCACACAAACTAGACCCTTGGAAAAGCAGATCTTTCACCGTCTGCCAGAGAGGGCATCTCACCTTAGCTGGTTACCTCCATTCGGAGGCTGTGTTCACAGTGCAACAGTGAGAGAAATATAACATAGCTGATTTCATCTTGCTTCTAGCCTCAAAAGTTGACTGCCTTTATTTGTTCCTGCCTGTAAGCCACGCTAAGTGTAGGAGGAATTCAGTTTAACATTAAAGCAAGGATGATAATAGTCCCTTCCCAAAACTAAGCCCCAAAGAGATGAGGAGAGCATACACACAAGTAACAATATTATGTTAAAGATTTATAGGAGCACTGTGACCTGACCAAGGACAAAGATGTTTTGCAACCCCCTCAGACTCCGGCTGACACCCAGATATCTGTGGTCACCTGCAATATCCTGACCACAACCCCCTTCTTGTTCCCCCTTTCCCAATATAAAAAGAAGCCTGAGATTCATGCCTTTAAGATGGTTCTTTAGGACACTAGTCTGCCATCTTCTTGGTTTGCTGCCTCTCCAAAATAAAGTCGCCTTTCTCACCCGAACACCTTGTCTCTTGACTTACTGGCTGTCATGAGGCAAACAGTATAAGCTTTGGATTTGGCCACAACTGCATCTCCAAGTAGACAACATCAAGGCATTTTGGTTCCAACAACTCCAGTAACACTGGCCTAGTCAGTGAGAAAAATTCATGGATTGAGAATCTACAAGCCTATGAAGGAAGTTATAAATCAAGTCTAGAGTAAGAAAACATGAAACACTTAATGTGTGTCAAATTTGTGCCACATGCTTTGCACTTCCTTTTATCATCCTAACAACCTTGACGGGTAAGCACTGTCATCCCCATTTTAGGTCACACAGACAGGAAAGCTCAAAGCTATGATCCAAAAAGGTGTCTGTTTAATTTCAAAGCCTGTTCTCTTTTCACTGTACAATGCCACATACTTAACTTTGAGGAGTAACTAATCAGCCTTTAACTCTTGTTTCTTTACTCCCTAAGGGAATGCAGCCATTTGTTTAGCATTCAGAGGATTTGCTCTGTGGTTCAGGCAGCAAACATTTTACAAGGGGTGTGTAATTAAATGAGGTAGAGATTGATGGAGAAGATTATGCTTTGAAGTTAACACATCTGGTTTAAACATGTTGAAAGTGGTGTCCATGTAAGATATGCAGATGGAGGGGTCTAAGGGACATTTGTCACCATTGCCCTATAGCTCGCGAGAGGTCTAGGATAAAGATAATGACCTGGGAGTTTTCATCAGCAAAGAACTGTTTGCAAACCATAAATGTGGATGAAATTGCCCAACTTGAATAGAAAGATTGAGTAGACAGAGGGCCAAAAACAAAGTCCTAAAACCATCAGAGAAGAAGGAAACAGTAGAAGAGACCTGGAGAAAAGTCAGCCCAAAAGGTAGGAAGGGAGAAAAGAGAATGGTGAGTGGAGAAGAGGGAAGAGATGGAAGAGATGGTAAATAGCATCCCGTGCCTCAGCAGGATCAAGTGAAGTGAGAAGTAATAAAAGGCCTCAGGGCAAGGTAATGCTTCAGGGCAGAGGATAATTTATAATGGATTGAGGAGCAGAAACAATCAATGGAGATGACTTTAAGAATAACAACTAATATTTCAGAGTGCTTAATAGAAGCCAGGCACCTTTTACATACGGTACCTCACTTAATCCTTATAGCTACCCCATGAGTAAAGTACTCTTACCATCTCCACTTGATGGATGAGGAAAACAAGGCACAAGGAGGTGACACAATTTACCCAATATCTCAAATCTAGTAAATAGCAACAATCTGATTTGAATCCAGGCAGTCTGACTTTCTTATCCTGAGGCTAAATTGCTTCTCTAAGTAGAAGGAAAAACAAGACAGGATTAAACTTAAGTAAGAGAAGGTGCCAAAAGAGGTTTTCTATGCATGTTTGATTTTGGATGGGAAAGTTCTGAGTATGTTTTTAGACTGAGAGAAAGGGATCAGTGGAGAAAGTCTGAAGATCTGAGAAAGAAAAAAAAGTCAATAGAACAAGGTCCCATAGGAAGAAGGCAAGATCAGAAGCAATTCTTTATCTAATATTAACTCCCCAAATCCTCAGTGAATGCCTGTGTGCCAGGCTCGGCTTGGCACTGGGGAATCAATGGTGAACTTGATTCCCAAAGGGGCCCTGACCTCAGGAAGCGTCGAGGCTAGCAGTGGGGCGACAGGTGAGAAACAAGGGAAGAGACAAACATAGGCCATGGTATGTGTGGTGAAGGAAACAAACCAAGTGCTGGATAAAACATTATCTTCCATAAATGGTGACACTAAAACTGAAACCTGAAGTTTGGGAAACAGCCTTATAGAGACTGGAGGGGAGAGGTCAAGGTGGGGAGTCACGGGGAGAAGGGGACAAGGTGCTGCAAGAGGAAAGCAGAATCCGCCGGGATGTCTTAAAAATACTCCTGGGAGGATGAGGGATAAAAAACTACATATTGGGTACAATGGACACTACTCAGATGATGGGTGCACTAAAATTTCAGACTTCACTATACAATTCATCCACGTTACCAAAAACCACTTGTAACCCTGAAACTATTGAAATAAAAATAAATAAATAAAATTAAATAAACAAAAAATACTGTTGACCAGATCTCACCTCATACAAATGTGAAAGAAAAATAGAATCTCAGGACCCCAAATTCACTATGCCAAAGGGAAAGTTAAACTTGGGAACTGAGTCATGCAAAAACTTCCTTCCTTTTGTTCCCAGATAGCTGTAATTTCGCATGCTTACTTTAGCTTATGTAAAATGTAGATTTCCTGAGCGCTAATCAGAGCCTCACAAGAATGTAACCACTGGCCTCATTGCTTGCTGTCTCTTTTTTTTCCTTCCCTTCCTGCTTGCTTTTTCTCCTTTACATATTAATGTTTCCAAAACCATCTTTGGAAAAGGTGCAAGTCACAGGTCCTACCATGATTTTTGTTTCTTCTTCCTGGGTGCATTCTCAACCTTGGCAAAATGAACCTCTAATTAATTGAGATCTGCTTCAGTCACTTTTTGGTTTGCACCGATTAAAGCAGAGTGCCTGGTGGAGGCACCTGGGCATGGTTATGCTTTTGAGCTTCCCAGTGCAATCTGGGAAGAGAACTACCATTTTAGGGCAAGCATTTCTTGAAGACCGCAGTAAGGAGTTTGCTTTTTAGTGAGGATGTAATTGGAAGTATCTGGGAGGTTTCAAGCAGAAAAATGACATCCTCACCTTCACTGGTTTAAACTATCAAAAGAACTCGTTGGTGGAAAGAAACCAGCTTTATGAAAGAGGAAACTCTTTTCTAAAACAAGAACAAAAGATGGAGAAAGAAGTACTTTTATAGATAAGTTTAAAAGTGAAAAGGAAAGTTTACATCTAAGAACTTCTGTTTTCTCTAAGAAAGGAAAGACTTGGTCCCACCTGCAATGATTGAGGGGCATGTGGGTGTGGCTCAAAGGAGAAATGGGAGATCAGAAACAGCCAACAAAGGGAACAGGAAAGGAAGACATCTGGTCAATAAGAAGAGCTAGAGGCACCAGGAGCCTCAGCCCTGAAACCAGCTCCTTAGGGAGTTTATCTTAGGTGGAGCCCTCGTCATCAGGTGAGGTTATGTAAGCATCTCTGCTGTGCACAAGGAGAATCTGAGGCCTGTTAGACTGACCAAGAGACACAAGCTGTAGAGCAAGTGCAGGTTAAAAAAGAGGTGGCACAGAGTTGAGCATTGTCAACAGGAAACCACTCTAGAGATTGATCATGGATTCCAGGCTGCATGAGAAAGAAAAGCTTGTTAGGCTGGAACAGTTGAGATCCCGGAGCCTTGGAGCAGCTGAAGAACAAATAGATTTAGTGAGACAGAGAGAAGAGATGGAAGATGTGGACCCAGGGTGGGACTTATTTTTTTAAAGGAGCAGTTTCAAGCAATGATGAGGTCTGGGTTGTGACCACAGGAACAGCAGCAGCAGCATCTAGTTTACCCACCACAGTGTTCAGAGAACCATGCAAGTCAACAGACTTTTGTTTATGAACTGAAGGGTTCAGAACATGACACAACAAAGTATGCCACTTTGGTATAAAGATATTTTGAGCTGAAGGCAGGTGAGAATCAGCAGACACAGAAAAAAAGCTCTCGGCCAGGCGCGGTGGCTCACGCCTGTAATCCCAGCACTTTGGGAGGCCAAGGCGGGCGGATCACGAGGTCAGGAGATCGAGACCATCCTGGCTAACACAGTGAAACCCCGTCTCTACTAAAAATACAAAAAATTAGCCGCGCGAGGTGGCGGGCGCCTGCAGTCCCAGCCACTCTGGAGGCTGAGACAGGAGAATGGCGTGAACCCCTGGGGGCGGAGCCTGCAGTGAGCCGAGATTGCGCCACTGCACTCCAACCTGGGCGACAGTGAGACTCTGTCTCAAAAAAAAAAAAAAAAAAAGAAAAGAAAAGAAAAAAAGCTCTCTACCCTCCTCCTATTTGCCTAAAAGAAGGGCATAAATTTCCTAGACCCTTATCATCCCAGAAATAGTACTGAGAGAAACCTGCATCACAAACGTTACTTAAATAACCCTTATCTTCCATTAGTTTCTTCCACATATTTGCCGTCCCACAATTTACTGCCACTAGAAGCTCAAACCCCTTTCCTTTGTCTTGTCAATTATCTGCAAATGTATTGCCCTTTGTTAAAAGGGCAAAAATAACTGTCGGGTCTAACTACTTCTTTCGGTTTTTATTTCATTTTTGTGAGCCCCTCGTATGCATATAAAATAAACCTTTTTCTCCTGTTAATCTCTCTTTTGTCAGTTCAATTCCAGTCATTGAACCTAAGAGTGCAGAGGAAAAAGCCTTTATTTCTGTCTGACAGGACATTAGTTAGCTTCTGAATTAAAAGTGCTCTACAACCTCCAAGCATTAGAGTATTATTGTTATGAGATACTGGGGAGATAGACTTGAGTCATATGCTTGATGGTGTTCTGGCACCTTCCTTGAAGCATTTAAACCCTGAAGATCAACAATTATTGACCTATATTATCTCAGGGGGTGGGAAAGTTCTCTTTGAAAACAATTCACACCATCATGTTATCAAAAAACTAAAATCAATGACTCAATTCAAAATGTCACTCTGTTGCTGACACCCAGTCCTGACAACTCCCCTGGTTATTTCTGTCTTGGAAACAAGCCTGTCAACATCTTGGTTGGCCAATTGCAAGATTCTTTCCCCAGTCAACTGGAAGTTCGATTGTGAAGCCCAGCTGAAAACTTAGGAACCACTTTGGAGAAGTGAAGGTGAGAAATAAAAACTAAAGCTTCAAGCCCCCTGCTGTGAAGAGCACCACAGTGAAGAGTTAAGATTACTGGCTCAGTGATGAGATCTGGCATCAAGATACATCTCCAACTTACCAGATGGGTAGACTTCCACAAATTTGATTCTTACTGTCCTCTTCTGTAGAGTGTATTCATAATACCTACTTGGTCTTTCCAAGGTATTTATGAATCCACTTCATAATACCTATGAATGAAACCTTTGTTACAAAGGTTAAACAAGATCAAGTACATAAAGCACTAAGCACAGGGTTTGACACATAGCAAACATTCATTAAACAGTAGTTACTTTTATTATTATTATTATCATTATTATTATTATTATTATTACTATTATCAGGTTCCCAAATAGTATGCCGAGAGTAATGAACTGCTTCCAAGTTATTGCTGAGGGATTGTAGCCACTTTAAAGAGCTCTCCAAAGTGATTACACAGCAGCTGGAGGGTGCAGGTAGGAGAGCCCTGATTTGTAGCTACATGCAATTTCATGCTATTACATGATATCTATCTCTGGGTGCACATTTTGCTCTCAGGAGTCATATAAGGTAGCTCCCATTCACCTCTGGATGGTTGTCTGAGATTTACTCCCAAAGGTCTTTGGGAATTCATTCATCTGTTCACTTAATGCATGTAGATATGCATATATAGAGATACATAGATGTATCTCAAACACCTACTCTATTGTGGGTCAAACATCTACCATGCAAAGAGGATTTTAAAAATAAAGAAGACTGGCCCTTCCTTCCCCCAGAGCCTGTGATCAAGGAGGGGTGGGCAATTAGGCAGCCATGACAACATTGAGAGGTAGAAGCCATGAGGAAAGAGCAGTGTGGCCAGGAAGTTCAGGGAGGGGTACCTCACCCATATGAGAGTTTAGAGAAGGCTCCTAGTCTAGACACTGAGCAGTAGGTAGACAGGAAAGGTGAGAGCTGTGGGTGTGTTGAGCAGAGGAAGAGTGAGTGCTAAGGCACCGTGGCCTGAAGGTGTGAGCAGATACTAAGAGGTTAGTATGAGTGAGCATGGCACAGGGCAGAAACCCCATCATCTAACCCCACCCAGGCCATGCAGGGTCTGTGAGCAGTGGAGAACCAATATGGAGTTTTAAATAGAAGCATGAGAGGGTTGGGTTTGCCTTTTAGAAAGATTGCTCTGATGCATTATGTAATTTAAAACAAATTTTTTTAAGTGGAGAAAAGAAAGATAAGCCTGGTTATAGTGTAGATTTAAAAAGTAGTGGGGGAGGGATGGGTAAGACTGGAGGCAGGGAGCACCACTTGGAGGCTGTTCCTATCATCTGAGCAAGGGACGATGGTGCCCTGCCCCAGGGATGGAGAGAAGGACAGTGATGAAGATTCAGGACCTGGTAACTGCTAGGAGTGGTGGGAGAGGGAGAAGGAGGGGTCGAGAATGACGTCCAGGTGTGTCTGCCCTGGTGGATGGACATGCCATTCTCTGAAAAGCTGAAAATGGGAGGAAAAGAAGCAGTACTGAAGTGGGGAAGAGTATGGGGTTCAGTATTGGACATGTTGAGGTGGAGGTGCCTAAGAGACACTACTCGAGGATGACAAGCAGGAGTGAAATAATTCCACCTGGTATGCAGGAAGAAATCCGAGCTGGCAACAGAGTCTTCAGGGTCTCTGGCACAGAGGTCCCAGCATAAGCCACGGGGGCAGTTTAGAGCATCCATAGAGGGGGAGTAGTTAGGACAGGGCAGGGCTTAGGGTAGGACTATGAGTATCATCAACTTTACATCCCCAGGAGGAGCACCTGTAGGAGCCTGAGAAGGATCAACCAGATACATCAAAAGAAAACCTGGAAAATGAGGAATGGTGACGCTCAAATGAAAACTGTTTCAAGAAGGAAGAATGAGGCCGGGCGCAGTGGCTCATGCCTGTAATCACTAGCACTTTGGGAGGCTGAGGCAGTCAGATCACTTGAGGTCAGGAGTTTGAGACCAGCCTAGCCAAATGCCAAAACCCCTCTCTAAGTTTACAGAGACCTGAGCATGTTTAAAGGCTAACAGGGAGAAGTCAGTAAAGAGGAGGAGGCTGAGGGGGCAGGAAGAAGATGTAACATGGGCCAGGCTGAGCCTGAAAGGAGCTGAGCCCGGGCTTCCAGTCACCTCTCCATAGTGGAGACAGCCCTAAGGGTCTCAGATCACCCCGGAGTTCACCATCCCAGTGAGGAGGAGAAGGAAGACAAGGCAGGAAGGGACAAAGGAACATGTAAGTTGTTAGACAACTGGGACCACACCAGTTTGTAAGTTACTAGTACCAGGCCCCAATTATTTAAAGCACCACCATTTTGGGGTAGTGTGACTAAAACTTATTTTTAAAGTTATTCCATGAAACAAAGTTTTCTAGTTTTTTACCAGAATACATTTTTAGATCCTGTAAATGCTTAGAAAAGGGAATCCCAACTGGCAGCCTGTACATCCAATCCAGCTGGCATATAAGTATTTTGCCTAAACGGTGTTAGAAAATATAGGAAATTTCACTTAAAAATCTAGACTGCTAAATTCTTTTGAAAACGAAGATCTGGCAACACCAGCACTGCATGGCATCCCTCAGATATCTGAGTGGCTGCTCTGCCCCCATTGAAAAGGGGCAAATGCACTCCATCCAGCTTGTCATAGCCTCCCCAAGCCTCTTTCCTGGCCCCAAGAGGCAAACTCCTCTGCCCTTGCACAAGGGTGGGTCCCATGGTGCTGTTGTCTGTCCCAGCCCTACCTTGTGATGGAGAACCTTCCATGTGCCAAGCAGAGTTTGAAGGCACTGGGGATACAGCAGTAGCTGCTACACTCTTCCTGTCCACAGAGCTTAGAAACTGGGGAGGCCAATGGAGCTCTAATCTCAGCAGGGTGGGGCTGCTGGCATCCTTTAACAGCGCAGATTTAACTTTGCATGTAGGGAATATTCCAGCTGTCTGCTCATCCCACACACCCACTGATGAACAAAAGCACATTCAGAATGGATGCTCAACTCACTATAGAGATTTTGACACGAATTTCCTGGAGTTTGACATTGTATTGTGACACATTGCTTTAGCAATCAGGTCAGACCACTGTCTGAAGAGGGCAGGGAGGTGAATAATTCAGTGTGATACAAGAGAATTTAAAAGAGCACTGGAATGTTTTTGGCAATAGCAGTCTCATTGCATTCCTTCATTTTTCTTTACAAGCTGGAGTCATTTCCAATATTGTGCCGGTATCTGACCTGGTCTTTGCCGGACTCAACTGAAGATAGATTAAAACAATAGAGCAGGTATGACCCGCAGGGCTCAGAGGATTTATTTGTTTTCCTAAAACTCTTGCAGCTGATCATTTGGCCACTGTAAGCATCTGCCTGCCTGTGTCCCTTGAGGGCACTATTTTAAGGAGAAGGTGCTTTGTGGAACAGAAGGGATTTTTCACTACCGAGACTTCCCCTATTCCTTCTGCAGAGACAATGGGGAAAATACATTTGATAAAGTTTTAGTGGGAACTGAAAAAGGCACATCACATAAAAGTATGACCTTTATCTTTTGCAGTAGAATTAATTTTCACTGAACAAGAAGCAAAGAAGGATGAAAACACCTAAGGTCCCGAAGAACTTAATACAATAAAACAAAACCATAATATTCCTGTTTTGAGAACTAGTGCTAATCAGAAACTCTGAAGGGGTATGGACATGGAGGTAAGGGAAGCAGGCTGTTCTAAATTTCTGGCAAAGACAGTAACAGGATTTGGAAGTGAGCTCACGAAGGCTGCTCTGTTGACCCAGTGGACCTCCCTCCCTTCCTCCCTCCCTCTGTTCCAAACCAAGGTAATGGCATAGCACAGTGAAGTATGGATTAGGGACTGTTTGCCTGGGACAGACCTGGATTTGAACCCCAGCTCTGCTACTAACTAGCTGGGTAACCTTGTTACCCAACCTCCCTAAGCTTTAGCTTCCTCACTTATCAAAGGGGATTCTTAATACATATTTCAGAGGATTGTGGTGAGAATGGAATAAAAAGCGTTTGTAAAGTAGCTGGTCCGTAGCAAGTATTCAGTAAGGGGCACCAAGAAACAGACAGTTCTGAGTGTACAGTCAAATATAATAATATTGAGGACCTTTTCATAATATCAGTTATCAAAATTTGACATCTGAATTCCTGTATTCCTAATCTAATTTTCAAACTATTCAAGTGTCCATTATGTAAATCTAAAGAACCACTATAAAAGCTAAGGTGAGAGCTTGAGGGGAGGGATACTGGGAGGGAAAAGGGATAAAGACAGATGTGAGAGGGAGAATTACTTTTTACTGTTCCCTTTTACACACTTAGAAATTATTTCCATCTGTATTATGGTATAATTTAGAAACAATTAGACTGACCCATTTTAAGTGTACAGTTTAATGAATTTGGAAAATGAATATAATCATGTCATTATGTAACCACTCACTCAAGATATACAACAGCGGTAACACCCTAAAAATACCCTGTGCCCCTTTGCAGTCAATAACCTCCTCCACACAGGCCCAGGCAATACCCATCTGCTCTCTGACATGATCTTTTTGCCTCTTCTAGAATATCATATAAATGGAATCATACATTATGTGGTATTTGGCCTTTTGCTTAGTATGTTTTTGAAATTCGTCCACATCGTGGCCTGTATTACTATTTCATTCTGTTTTATGGCCGAGCAATTATCCATAGTATGGCTATATAACAATGTGTTGATCCATTCACCAGTTGATGGACATTTAGGTTGTTCCCAGTTTGGGGCTCTCACGAATAATGCTGCTGTTACAAATCTGTGTTGCACCATTTACATTTTGCTCCAAATGCATGTATTCACACTTTAAAGATCAGAGTGTGGGAAGAATCACCTCTCTGAATAACTAGAACCTGGAATAAATGAATATAATTACCGTTTGGCTGGCCAAGATTTATATAACTTCTCTCCACATTCAATACTCAGTGTCTTTTTATGTATTATGTATGTAAATATACAAGAAGTATATGTCTTCTGCTAAGCAGTATACATCTGGTTTATTTCCCCAACAGACAACATGAATCAAATCACTATGATGATGTTAAATATTTCCCTATGGCCTTAAGAGTGTTTGATTTTCTTAAAAACCAATCTTTAACAACTGCATGCAGCAACATGCAGGAGATACGAATACTCACATTAGGAACAAAAGAATACATAAGTTCAAATACAGGATGCTATGGTTTGAATGTGCGTTCCCTCCAAAACTCATGTTGAAACGTAATCCCCAAGGTAGCAGTATGGAGAGGCCTTTAAGGGGTGATGGGGACATAAGAGATTTGCCCTCGTGAATGGACTAACTAATTCATGGATTAGTGGGCTATAATGGGAGTGGGACTGGTGGCTTTATAAGAAGAGTAAGTGAGATCAGAGCACTCTCAGCCCCTCACCATGCGATGCCCTGTGCAGCCTTGGAACTCTGCAGAGGGTCCTTAAGAACAATAAGACCCTCATCAGATGTGGCCCCTTGACTTTGAACTTCTCAGCCTTCATAACTGTAAGAAATAAATTTATTTTATTTATAAATTATCCAGTTTCTGTTATTTTATTATAAGCAACAGAAAACAGCCTAAGACACAGGTAAAATTAATTTGTGGAGATAAAAATTAGATAAGTGGTTACCTCTGGCAGGAGTCAGATGTATTGATTGTTGCAGGAAGGAGGAGATGGGAAAAGGAGTGTGATCGAGTCTTAGGGTGCTGGAATTGTTCTTTATTTTCATCTAGGTGCTGGTTCCATGTTTGTATACATAGATAAAAATTCATCGAGCTGTGCAATTAAGATGAGTGCACTTTACTGTGTATATGTTGACCTCAGTAAAAAAGTACAAAGCTAATAATAATAATCTTTCAATCTTGGATCAAAACAGATTGTATGTGTGACTGCCTGACATTATTCCTGGCACATAATAAATGGTGATTAATAAATATTCATGCAAGGCGTGGCAGCTTAAACCTGTAATCCTAGCACTTTGGGAGGCCAAGGTGGGCAGATCACTTGAGGCCAGGAGTTCGAGACCAGCCTGGCCAAAATGGCAAAACCCCATCTCTACTACAAATACAAAGATTAGCCAGGTGTGGTGACGTACACCTGTAATCCCAGCTACTCGGGAGGCTGAGGCACAAGAATCACTTGAACCCAAGAGGCGGAGGTTGCAGTAAGCCAAGATGGTGCCACTGCACTCCAGCCTGGGCAACAAAGCAAGACTCTGTCTTAAATAAATAAATAAATGTTCATTTATCTCCATTGCTTTCATTTCCAAGGAAAATGTTTGGCAAAATGTTAACATTACAAACATGGGGTTTAAATATTCACTCTTCTTTCGGCCTGCAAAGATTAGGTCACTTTTTCTCCTCTGAAAATTGATGCACTGTGGAGTATAGGGAGGAGCGCAGAGTGGGCTTTATACATCCTATCAGAGTGGGCTCTTTACACATCCTATCAGAGTAGGCTCTTTACACATCCTATCAGAGTGGGCTCTTTACACATCCTATCAGAGTGAGCTCTTTACACATCCTATCAGAGTGGGCTCTTCATACCTCCTATCAGAGTGGGCTCTTTATACATCCTATCAGAGTGGGCTTTACACATCCTATCAGAGTGGGCTTTACACATCCTATCAGAGTGGGCTCTTTACACATCCTATGTGAATGGGCTCTTTATACATCCTATCAGAGTGAGCTCTTTACACATCCTATCAGAGTGGGCTCTTTACACATCCTATCAGAGTAGCTCTTTATACATCCTATCAGAGTGGGCTCTTTACACATCCTATCAGAGTAGCTATTTACACATCCTATCAGAGTGGGCTCTTTACACATCCTTTCAGAGTGGGCTCTTTACCCATCCTATCAGAGTAGCTCTTTATACATCCTATCAGAGTGGGCTCTTTACACATCCTATCTTGTCTTACCCGAGTGGATCCCAGCACATATTTTCGGGTGGACATTGGACTTATGTGGAATCTCAAAAGTTTTCTGCACAGGTACTAGGTCCAGGGCCATGTTTGCTATTTCCCTAGCATGGAGGATCCCTTTGGCCTTGTGCACCCTAGATGCCACCATATTTGAAAATACATGAAAAAATGGCACACTTGAATGAACTAAAGCAGACTGTAATTTTTTTAAGGCTGCTGGCAAGGGTTTTCTATCCAAAACCTTTACCTGTACCTTCCCTTGCAGCTTGGAAAGTTTATTTAGGGCAGAGGGTTTGAAAAACATTTCAAGGAATGGGTCTTTGAGAGCAAAAGTCACTACAAGGTTGGGTGCTCTGGACATGAACTGATCCAATAAATGTTTCCGGTCCATGAAGTAAACAGACTGACTCTTGACAACTATTAGTCAGTGCTTCTTCCTTCTTATGTTCAAGCAGCATTGATTTCCTTGTCTTTCTGACATAGCCTTGTTCTTAATACTCAGTCTCAAGACAAACAAGAGAAACAGTTTGGGAGCAGCCAGCCATGTTTGAGTCAATTTCTTATAGTTCTTTCATACTGAGAATAGGAACTCTGGGTCAAAGCTATTGAGGGCCACAAGAAATAATGAAATGATGTCCTGAAAGTTAATTATTTGACTTCCACGAGACGATTTAGTGCAATGAGAGAAGTACTTATGAAATAGCAGTCCAATAGCATGCAAGAGTCAAAGGGCTTCCAGGGATATGGAAAATTCATAAAGATCGAGTCCTGGGCTCAATGCTCCAAGCTATGGACAAAATGGATTTCCTAGCTCAAAGCTGAATGATGTGTCTTGAAAAAGCTGGCCTTCTTTAGAGATGCATGACAAAAATCTTAGAAACTTGAAACTGTAATTTGTAAGAGGTTCTCCAGAGTGGTATACAGAGAGTTAGAGGTTTCTGCAAGAGATGAGACTAGAAAGAGCAGAAAAGGTTAATAGAGCAGTATCAGCAGGATCAGAACACTGCTGAATCATAGTGTGTATTGGTACAATAAAGAATAAGAACTTAGATACTTAGACACTAACCTTGAACGTATGAATGATGGAATAGCTGATTGGGAGTTTAATTGAAATTCTGATGCTGAATAATATCTTCAACCTTTTCTGACACTGTTGCTTAAATGAGTGGGTAGACACTCCCTGTTCAGCACACCCCACCTATTTCTGCCTGGATGCTGAAGGTGCTGCTTCCAGACACCATTCAGCAGACACACATGTATGTGCACACACACAAACACACATACACGGTTGTCATGACAACTGAGGCATGGACATTGAGGCCATGTCTGAATGGAGCCAGTCATTCAGACACCTTGGTAAAGGTGTTCTGTTTTGGGGGTGAGGGAACTTGTTTGTCTACCCAGCAGTAGCAAAAACCCATCTTTCTACCCTGCAGACAGTGGTCCTTCCTAACTAAGTGCTCAATCCTGGGATCTCGGGATACTAAAACAAGGCATCATTATTTCTCAAAAGAGCTCTCTGGATGAGATTTACCCAACTTTTATAGGGTCTAACCCACAAGGGGTCACAGTAAAAATAACTGCCAAGCCAGTCTCACTCAGTGCATTGGTTCCAGGGAAACATTTTTTGACCTCTTGGGGACCACTTATGTTAACCCACCACTTGTTGTTTTCATTTGCAAACATTCTGAAGGTCAATTTGAATTTGATTGTTTTAGGATCTAATAATTCACTTAGTGACATATCTAAATTAAAGCCCAAATCATCAGAAAGAATAAGATACACCCAACAAAGATGCCTAATTTACAATCATGAAGAAACAGTTCAGTTCATGTCAAGAGATTTATCGAATGCCTTAGACACAAGGAAAATTATCATCAATAATAAGCATTTTCTAAGCAATTACTTTGGGTGGACACATAGGCTCAGAGAGATATAAGGCTCAGGGAAGTCTATGAATACCAGCCACATTGCAAAGCCACACAAGGCATACACCAACTAGTTAGAAAAGTGGGTGATTAGAAAAGCTTTGGGCAAAGTTTCTAGGGGTAAGTAAGACTTAAGCTGAGCCTCATGGAATGCAAAGTGCTTCTGCATTTTAGAAGTAAAGGGAGAAATATTACAGGTGAAAAAAAAACTGCATGGTATGGGACCGTTTGAGTATTACCTTGTTTGGCAGGAGATGTCCTGCAGAAGAGCAATGGGAAATAAGGCTGTGTAGTAAACAATTAACCTTACCCAAAAAGAAGTCTGGCTTTTACCCTAAGGTACTGGGAGTTGGTTCCTAGGCCCCTAGAATGCCCTGCCTGAGTCTTTGTTGCTGGGGAGCTTTGGCTACTAACAGCCTACCAATGTGATTTGTGATTGTGGCCTTAGGGCCACGCAGTGTCATTTATGACCTCTGGAGGAACAACTAAAGATATTAGCTTGATCTCCAGTCTCCAGAAGTGGCTGGAAACTCAAGGTCAGCCACTCAGGCAGGATGTGATCAGGCCCCAGTAAATCTCTGAACACCAAAGGCTGAGGTGATCTTTCATGGTTGACAACACTTTGTGTGTCTCGTTGCACATGGTGACCAGGAGGAAGCAGTGTTGTCCATGACCCGATAGGGAGAAAATGACTGGCAGCTGGCACTAGACCCCGCCTGGATTCTGCCCCATGTGTCTCCTCTCTAAGCTGAATTTAATTTGTATCCTTTTACTGTAATAAAACTACAATAAGAAGTATAGCACTTCCTTGAGTTCTGTGAGTCATTCTAGTAAATTATTGAACTTGAGGGTGGTTGTGGGAGTCCCCAGATTTGTAGCCAGCTGGTCTGAAATAAGGATGAGCCTGCGCATTACCAAATTTGCAGCTCATGTCAGAAGTGAGGGAAGTCATGTGAGGACTGTGCCCCCAAACTGTAGAGTTGTCTTAACTCATCGCAAAGGCTGAAGAAGTTAGTCATGTGGGGCATTGAATGTAAGCCTGGAGAGTCTGGATATGATGCCATAGGCAGTTATATTCTTGAGCAAGAGAACAAGACAAGCTTCATCTCATAATAGTGTAAGAGACAGGATGCTTAGAGGACTGTGTTTTGTCCAGATGTGGGAAGATGAAGATCTGAACCAGCCCTGAGGCAGAAAAGGAAAAGCTGTGTGAATAATAACACTGACTGAGCATATGCTATGCCAGGCATCCTAAGCGCTCCATGTGCTTTTAATCCTCAAAACAATCTTATATGGCAGGCGACATTCTCCTCTCCATTTTACAGACCAAAAAACTGAAGCCCAGAGAGACTAACTAATTTGCCCAAAATCATCCAGCAGGAAGTGGCACAGCTGAGATTTGAACCCAGCTGGAATCAGACTCATAACCATTATCTCACATAAGCGCTACCACATGGAAGACACCGTGGTAAAAGAATCAACAGGATTTGCTGACTGGCCGTCTGGATACAAGATGAAAAAGCCAGGAAGAGGACAGGACAACTCTAGGGTTTTCCATATTGATAAATAGAAATTGCAGATGTTCCTATAGCCCAAATTGCCTATTTCACCTTGAGCAAAAAGGACATGAGCTAAGGAGATCTAAGTCATGGGCGGTTCAAATTTGCCAACTAACAAAGGGAACCTAGCTAAGTCTTTTAACTTTCCTGGGCCTAAGGTTCCTCTTCAGTTGGAGTAAATCTCTAAATTCCCTACTGACCACAAGAAGCAAAGTAGTAAGTGATCAGTAGCATGTGCTCTTAAATCAGACAGGTCTAAGACCTGACTCTGCATTTATAAGCTACGTGACCTTGGACAAGTAACTGAGTCTTGGCATTCCCATCTGGGAAATGGGGATTATAATAATATCTGGGTTATAGAAATGTTGTGAAGATATATACCATAATCAAATAATCTATGTCAAGCCCTTAGCACAATGCCTGACATATGACTAAGTATTTGATACATGACGGTTTTATTGTTAGTTTTCATGCAATGAGATATCATAGAACTTAGCCCCAAAACCACCATTCCAGATAATTCCACTGGCCAAACTCAGAGGTGAATAATTAATTTTTTAATCATTATTAATAAAGACATGAGAAAACCTTACCATGTTTTAACTACCCTTGATGCAAGTATACAGTTATGTTATTCTACTGTGTGAGTCATTATTGTCCAGTGCTGTGATGATACACACCATAAGCATAAAAGTTCACACGATGCATGATAAAATTGTTCAACAATAAAACAGACAACATTAAAGGACGAAGATTCAGCATCACTTCAGATTTCGACCAAAACACAAGTTAATCAGCACATCCCTAAAGTATAACAAAGCAGAAAGTTAGTTACAATCAAGTCCTAAATGCCTAAGTACTTAATATATTTTTCATCAACTCCAAGCAAAATTTACTTCAAATTTAGCCAAAAGATTATTTCAATTTTCTTTTTTTTTTTTTTTTCCTTCAGCGGTGGCCATCAGAGATAGTGTTATGACCCTCACCTACATTTCTGTATAATGAGCTTACCTTTGGAGAATAAAGGGAAATCCTTTAAATCTGAGGGTTATTGAAAATCAAAATCCCTGCTTACTATGTAGTTAGTGCCCTGTATTTACCCATTAATTGTTAGATATATTAAAAGTTATTATCTTTGCTGGAGCAGGTTTGGGTCTAAACACCCATTCAATGGTTCTGAATTAGAGGCAAGGGGAAGAAAAGCCCAGAGATAATAGTAAAATTCAAAGTAAATGTGGTTTAATTACATTGTCATGTATGATAGCAACTTTAATTTCATGATGCAGTGTTTTATGGTAATGAAAAGAAACACAAGGAATTGTAGGAACACAATAGTTTCATCAACATTAACCTCATAATGCAGTATTTTTCAGTAATGAATGGAAAGAAAAGGAACTGTGTGGGTTGCAGTGACTCACCGCAGCAACCTTCATGAGCAGCAGGTGGAGTAATGAAGGTGATGGGAGAACCATCGTCTCCTCTTCAACATGGCTATTGGTCTCAGTCCTTCTATGTGTTACTAGACTGCACCCTGAAGGTAGAGATCCATCTATCACATTCAGCCTTCTGCCCTTTAGAGCTCCAGTGCTAACACAGTGCCTGGCACATACAGGTTTCTCAATTACTGTGCATTGAAAAAATGAATCTTAAATACTTTCTAAATCTATTTTCAGTTTGCCTGATGGCTAACAAAACATTTCATTGTTCCCTTCTCAATTTATACAATTAAAAATGAAATTACAGTCGGTAATGATTATTGATATTATAATTTTATCTAAATATTTGTTCTGTGTGTCTTTCAAAATTCACCGCCTTTCCTCACTGGCCATGAGGAAAGGAAAATACCTATGTCAGTAAAAGGTTGGAGATCATTGAGCTAAGTGCCGGAAAGTCTGACCACAAAAGTAAAAATATAAAACCAGTTTGTTTCCCTTATTATTGAAAAGGATGGCTCTCAAATCAAAGCAGTAGACATTTCCTCGGGGACAACAATGAGAAAAGCCATAGGCACAATTGAGACTACTAAGAAGATTTGCTTTCTAGGAGCTTACAACTTAAGAAAGTTCGAATGTTTACATAAATGGTTACTTTCCATTAATTCCAAGCTTTGTCTCCACTAAAAATTAATATTATTCCATGTCTAAAATACCCACCCATACATCAATAGTCACAAGCATTTCCCATCGTCTCCATGTTGTAGACATCATAATGGTCTATAATTTTTCCCAAAGGTGGTATAGAGCTTGTCCAGGAAGTCCACTACCTGATACAGTGTGCTGATGTAGAAAGTCGAGGGAAGCCTACTATGTCACTGGAATGGAGCAGGGAGGTAGAAAAAAAGTAAAATCAGGCAAAATAATTGGCAAGACCTAATTAAGCAATGGTACTTCCTTGTTTGGCACAATTTTTTAAAGCTCTCAGAAATCTGAGCCAGGGAGACCAGAAAGTCATGAGTCAGTCAATGGGTTTAGAAAATATCCTTAGTTGTTTGTAACTTGTTTGGTTGGGATTTTGTTTGGGTTTGCTTTTGGTGTTTGGGTGTTGGTTTTGTTTGGGTTTTGCTTAGCTTCATTTTAGACAGTGCTGGCGTATTCCAAGCTAGGGAAGCTGGGTGCATGAGAGCTCTATCCGCTAACATCTGGACTCCCTCTGTTTCTGTTGATCAAGTGAGTGGGTTTATATAACAAGAGATTTACATGGATTGAGACAGCTGTGCAAACTCATTTAAAGAAGTCCCAGGTCGAGGTTAATTTGCTTCCCAGTTATCCTGATTCCTACCTACATTCTAGTTTTGTTTGTTTGTTTTTGTTTGTTTTGTTTTTTTGAGACAGTATCTCTCTCTGTCATCCCGGCTACAGTGCAGTGGCTCAACTGTAGCTCACCGTGACCTTGAACTCCTGGGCTCAAGTGATCTTCCCACCTCAGCCTCTTGAGTAGATAGGACTACAGGCACTTGCCACCCTTGGCCATCTAATGTTTTGTATTTTTTGTAGAGACAGGTTCTCTCTGTTTCTCTGGCTGGTATTAAACTCCTAGTTTCAAGTGATCCTCCCACCACAGCCTTCTAGATCTTTTATTTTTTGGTTGTTAGTGATGCTTTCATATCTTCAGATAGATTTCTCTGAGGTTATACTAGCCTCTGCTGGAGAGAGGTCTTTTGTCTTTTTCCTCCCAGGAAGGAGTCTCTATCAGTGACATGGCATGGCTTTAAACTCTAAAGAGCCGGTCTTTAAGCTCTATGCCTCAGTTTATCCATCTGTAAAACATGGACGCTCTCTTGACCCCCAGTTAGAATCTGACTGCTTTGAGTAACTGCTGTAAACTGCAAATCATTTGCAAGGCTTCCACCTCACAGCTTACAACTTCAATTTATGGGTTTTTCTCAGAAATTTCTAAACTTTCCCCCAGGCAAGGCAACCCTGGTTCTGCCTCATCACAGATGGGGTCATTGTATGTTTTGTTATGGCAGGGAAGAACTATATGGCTTATTTACTTCAGATTAAAAAAAAAATTCCCTGAAATGAAGTATAAGCATTCTAAAGCAATTTCCTGCTGTTTTTGCTAAGCTGCATGCCTTTTAGCTCTAAGAAATTGATTTAAGTTAAAAAAAAAATAAGGTGGTGGGGTGGAGGGACTTAACCAAATCACACCAACGTATTTTATTAACAACATGCCTAAGTGGTAAGCTTGCTGCCACTTGATTCAAATGCCTGCAGTTTCTTCTTTTGCAGATATTATTTACTCTCCACCTGCTGCCAGTCACGCACAAATTGTATAACACTGTAGACTGCTCCAACTCTCTGCCTTTTAAGCTGAAATCCCAATGCCAGTCATGTTAATTTACCTGAAAAGATGGACACACTCAGGTATCTCTGAGCCAGGCAGGTTGGCCTTGTCTTAGGTCATCAACAACTTGTTTCAGTAGCGTGCCTATTTTTAGGTATGAATCCGAACAGTTAATTACCCTTAAGGAAAAGGACACACGGGGGCCCACTGTCATGCCTGCAGCATCATTTTTTACATTGGCACTCTCGATTGTTCTGTCCTCCATACACAGTAAGTAGGGTATGGTTTGCATACTGTTTGCTGGGCCACAGTGGATTTGTACCAAGTCAAGTGTATTCCCTAACCCAGTCTTCCCCGGGGCCACTGTTGAGATGGGGTCAGGGGTGCTGCTAGGAGTGGAGAGAGAGGAGAGTCAATTGGAGGAATGGAAGCTCTGCCTGCAACCTCATTAGGATCAACCTTTACTCATCTAGCACTTTGGTCATTGAGATTGACGCCTCCCCTAACTTAAAATACTTATTATGGGAACCAGGACCTCAGGGTGCGTTAAGCAGGCCCAGCTTCCACCCTGCAGTGATTTGCAATTTCCTTGTTGGGAGCGGTGGCAGCATTGTTAGTTCAGAGAGCTGGGCTTTGCCCTTTTGGGAGGTTGTGGGGCTTTTTGCTCCCAAGAGGTGGCTATTACCTTCCTCATGGGCAGTTTTTTTCTAAACAGGAAGCGGTGGATGAACAATTTTACCATGTCCTCCTCTAGTCTTGGGGATTAAAAATCTTAAGTTATTTGAATCGTTAGGCTGTCGGAAGAAAAAAATCAACTAAGATCGCCATTCTGTCTACAGGGTGAAAACAAACAGAGTGATTTACTGGGCACATTTAGCACTCATTTCCCTTGCAGGAAGCTTGGGATCCCCTGGAGGGATAAAGGATGAATATTTATTGGAGCCTAATAATGGTGGAAAAACCTGATTTTGTATTTTTTTTTCTGTGAAAGAAATAGGGTGATTTTATATATTTCCCTTAGGAATTTCTGTCTCAATAGCGTTTTTGCTATACGTATTCATAATCTACCCTGGTAATATTGTCTGCTAAATACTTATAAATGCAGCATGATCTGGCTATATTGCTTCATCATTAATTGAGGAATATAAAATGCAGTCAGGCCTCCAATCAGTGTTTACAGAGCACCTACCATGTCCCAAGCACTGGACTAGGCACTGAGGGATGTAAAAATGAACAAAATTTAGTTATGCCACACAAGAATTATATAATCCTGCTAGATAAACAGAAATGTGTACAGTTAATCACATACGTATACTACTTGAATATAAAAGTCAGGCTTGCCATGGCCAGGAGAAGGTTTAAAGGGTTACACAGGAAGTATTGACATGTTTCTACCCAAAGGGGGGATATCTTTTATTTCATATAGATTTAGAAAGTTATTCATCTCACCAAAAGGAAGAGATTAACTCATCCAGTCTACAGAATAGGACTGGCAAAGACCCCAAAGGCTTATGAAAATGAATAACTTGGATTAGCTTGGTTCTTCATTTTTGAGCTGCCTTTGAGAATATGGATGAAAACACGGGTCCTCTCCTGGAAAAATGCACATATATACCCAGTCTTGCATGTAATTTCAGGGATACATGGGCCACTTGAAACTTCAACATGGACTGTCTAGAGCACCACCAAATTAGATAAGCAGACAAAAGAGCCAACAATGACATTCTAGTAAACATCAATATTTAGAAGTAAAAAGGCATTTAGAGGAAGTCAAACAGAGAAGAGCCATTGAAAGAAACTATGGCATTGTCAGAATTGAGTTGCACTGTGGGGGCTATTCATCCAGGGCAGCTCTCTGGGTCATCAGGCATCACCAGTTGGTAAAATATCCATGTAAATGCAATAAAATAGATGCATTAGTCTGTTCTCAGGCTGATAATAAAGACATACCTGAGACTGGGTAATTTATAAAGGAAAGAGGATTAATAGACTCACAGTTCCACATGGCTGGGGAGGCCTCACAATTATGACAGAAGGCAAGAAGAAGCAAGTCATGTCTTACATGGAAGGCAGCAGGCAAAGAGAGAAATGAGAGCCAAATGAAAGGGGTTTCCCCTTATAAAACCATCAGATTTCATGAGACTTCTTCACTACCACAGGAACAGTATGGGGGAAACCTCCCCCATGATTCAATTATATTCTGCTGAGTCCCTCCCATAATATGTGGCAGTTATGGGAGCTACAATTCAAGATGAGATTTGTGTGGGGACACAGCCAAACCATATCAATAGAGAAAAATGTATTTACCAAAAACTCCTCTAGAGGGGCTTACCATATATGACTGAATGGAATACTTGGATAGCCCACTTGGGAAAGCAATGACACCTCTAAAGGATATACTCTCTAATAACATAGTCACCAAACTGCCTTCCTAGGAAGACAGGTCAGATTAACTACTTGGCTTTTGTTTTCCTGAGTAGACTCTGTAGGGTTGGGGCCAAAGCTGAACTGCTTGGGGTAGGGCTGGGGTAGTGAAAGCTGGGAGGCTTTTTTGCCTTCAATCCTATCTAGTCAGTACACACTTCCCTCTCTCCATCATCATTACCACCATCATCACAGTCATTATCAACATCATCACTAACACTTGTTCTACTCCAGGCGCTATCTAAATACTACACAGACTAACAATGAATGCTCACAACTCTCCTATGATGTAGACATTATGATGTCCATTTTATAGGTGAGCAAGATGGAAGAGATGAAATTTAAACACAGGGAGTCTAAATCTAGAGCCCTTTTTCTTAGCCACAACACAATACTGATAACATTCAAATAAAACTGTTTGTTTTGTTTTGTTTTTTGAGACGGAGTCTCACACTGTCACTGGGCCTGGAATGCAATGGCGTGATCTTGGCTCACTGCAACCTCTGCCTCCCAGGTTCCCGTGATTCTCGTGCCTCAGGCTCCCAAGTAACTGGGATCGCAGGTGCACACCACCACACCTGGCTAACTTTTTGTATTTTTAGTAGAGATGCGGTTTCACTATATTGGCCAGATTGGTCTCGAACTCCTGACCTCGTGATCCACCTGCCTTGGCCTCCCAAAGTGCTGAGATTACAGGCATGAGCCACCGTGTCCAGGCAATAAAACAATTTTAAAGGACAGAAAACTTTGAGACTTCCCAGGTTGCCCATATGCCTTGGTTTGAGCCTATATGTTTTAGACCTTCCTTGAGTCAGAGAAGATGGAGGAGAAATAAAAGAGCATTGTGTCCTAGAAGCCAAAGGACAAAAAGAATAGAGTGATAACTTTCTCAAGTTTTTAGAGACGTGACCTAGGGTGAGGACTGAAAAGTAACTGTTGGTGTAAGTCATGGCCTTGGCGAGGACAGTTCCTATAGAGTGATGCGGGTGCAGATTGCAAAGGGTTGAGGAGCAAATGAGAAGTGGAGAGGAATCATTGAGTAGATACTACTTTTTCAAATTCTTTAGACAAGAGGACAGAAAACAAATCTACTTTGGGATGAGGAACATCAAATTAAACCCACCTACCAGCTGGCCATGGTGGCTCACACCTATAATTCCTATAAAGCACATTGGGAGGCTGAGGTGGGAGGATTGCTTGAAGCCAGGAGTTCAAGGTTGCAGTAAGCTATGGTTGTGCCACTGCACTCCAGCCTGGGCAGCAGAGTGAGACATCACCTCTAAAAAAATTAATTAATTAATTTAATTAAATAAACCTCCCTGCTCTGCTCTTTTGTAGGAGAACATTTGTGGCACTCCTATTAAAAACTAGGCAATAAGTTTCTTATCGTCATCTCACTTAATTTTCACAATAGACTCATTAGGGTTATCTCCCACATTTTACAGATGAAAATACAGAGGCTCAAAGGGATTGAGTCACACAGCCAAGAAAGCGGCAGAAGCCAACTCTGAACTCAGGATGGTCTGGTTCTGAAACTCCTGACATTTCACTTAATTAAAAGAAAGGAAGACTGCACATATTTATAAACTGAGGTGAAAGAGTTAGAACCAAAGGAGACACTGGGGTTATGGGGTGCAATGGAGAAAGAAAATAACCGATGGTGCAAGGCCCACTAATGATTTCCTTTCTACTGGGTCCTTCCTTCAGCTATTGCATCTCCTAAATTTAATAAAAGTCTGTTGACTACTCAAGCTACAGTTTCATTTCTCTACTCCTCTTTAGAGCAAAACTCCTGAGAAGAGTTGCCCAAACTTGCAGTCTCCCTCCACTTCTTCTTGCCCTATTGTCCCCTGAACACACTCCAAAGCAGGCTTTTTCTCCTCCACACTCCCTGGAAACTGCTCTTGTTAAGGCCACCAGGGATCTCTCAACTGTCACATGCAGAGGGTGATTTAAGAATCAACTTTACCTTGCTTGGCCAGCCATGGTATTTAACACAGTTGACCACAGTTCACTCCCTTCTGCGGGAGATACTTTCCTCACTTGGCTTTGGGGACACTGCCTAATCTTGATTCCTGCCACCCTATCACAGTCCCCCATGCTGGCTTGTCTTCTCTCTCTCTCCCAAGCCTCAACATTGAGGGACCACAGTGTGCAGTTGGCAGATCTCTTCTCTTCAGTATCTATATTCACTGTTCTAGAGGAGCTCATGCGGTCTCATAGTTTAAATATACAATCTTATCAGTATATGCTGATTACTCTCAAATTTATATACCTAGCCTGGAACTCCTTCTTGAACTCCAAATTTGTATAGCCAATGCTTAACAGACATCCCCACTTGAATAGCTAATAGTCTTCTTGAAATAACATGTCCCAAATTTTGATTTTTCTTCCCAAAAGTGACTTCTTTCCAAGACTTTAGGAAACAGCAACTCCACGCTCTCAATGGCTCAAGCCAAAAATATACAAAGCATCTTTGATTCCTTTCATTCATATTGCACATCCAAGAGCTAATCCAAGAGCAAGTGCTATAATATCTAACTCTAAAATAAATCCTGTATTAGACCACTTCTCACTAATTTATTGCTACATCCCTAATTGAAGCCAGCATTACCCTTCCTATGGACTTAACCTCCTAACTGGGCACTCTGACTCCACATTTACCCCTCCTACCATCTTCTTTACTCAGCAACCAAAACATTCATTATAAAAACAGAAGTCAGATCATATTTTTCCTTTGCTCAACCCTCCAAATGCTTCTCACAGCACTCAGATATCTGTAGTCCTTACTAAGGTAATGGACTTAAGCCAAAGCCATGCTTAAGCTTGTCCCAGCTGCCTCTTATACTTTATCTTCTACTTCTTTACCCTGCCATCCCACTCACCAGCCTGCTTGCTGTCCCTCAAATTTGCCAACCATGTTCCTACCTCTGCTACTCCTGCCCCTCTGCCCCTAGAAGTCACTCAGTTCATTTAGGGATCTGACCACACCATAGAAAACAGCAGCCCCAGTCACTCTCTCACTCCTTACATGGTTTTACTCTCCTTCTTGCATTTATCATCACCTGATGTATCACATATTTATTTACTAGTCAGTGCCTTTTCTGTCTTCCTCCACTAGACTATAAGCCCTGGTGAACTGTTGTATTGTCTGCCTATTACAATATCTAACACACAGCAGATAATTAGTAAGCATTTGTTCAATGTCTAAATAAAAGGAAGCAGAAGGATGGGTTTCAGAACCCAAGTGAAGAGGTTGACCTCAGAAAGTGGAAGGCACAGCTCTTCTGTTTGCAGAATAAGAAACGCGGTAGAGATGGGCCTTAATTTGGTAAGTTTCATGATAGTTGGAAGTCAGTCAGTTTCATACTTTAGAACCTGTAATTGGGAAGACATGGTGGTAAAGCCAGTTGATTCGTTGGGAATGAGGAGAGATGAGATTAAAAAGGGATGTAAGGAAGAAGTAAAGATTAGTAATGGCCATCATGGCAATTAGGGATAGATAAAAAGATTGCTGAACAGCTATAGTTCTGGTGGCCCAGAAATATCTACATCAATGCCTGGAATTACATATCTGGGTCCCAAGATAGATGGAGGCTTAAAACTTCAAGTACGGAAATCATTGGCATATAGGTGGTGGTGGAAACTGGGAGCTGGAACTAAATCAGAAGGTTTATTTATTTATTTTATTATTATTATTTATTATTATTATTATTTGAGACAGAGTCTTGCTCTGTTGCCCAGGCTGCAGTGCAGTGGCGCATTCTTGGCTCACTGCAACCTTCACCTCCCCGGTTCAAGCAATTCTCCTGTCTCAGCCTCCTATGTAGCTGGGACTACAGACACATGCCACCACCCCTGGCTAATTTTTGTATTTTTAGTAGAGACTGGGTTTCACCATGTTGGTCAGGCTGGTCTCGAACTCCTGACCTCAGGTGATCCACCCACCTCAGCCTCCCAAAGTGCTGGGATAACAGGTGTCAGCCACCATATCCAGCCTAAATCAGAGGGTTTAGAATGAATAAAAAGCATGCCAGGAATAGCATGCCCCATTAATCTTTAAAATTTTTTTGTAGAGACAGAGTCTCACTATGTTCCTCGGGCTGGTCTCGAACTCCTGAGTTCAAGCAATCCTCCTGCCTTGGTCTCCCAAAGTGTTGGGATTACAGGTGTGAGCCACTGCTCCTGGCCAGTTTTCTTATATTTAAAATAACAACTGTCAATGTCCAAGGTGTGTGAAAGATGCAAAGCTGCTAAAAAGACTGTAAAGGAACAAGCTGAGCAGTGGGAGGTGAACCAGGAGAGAGGGAGTAGGGAAATCCATGGAGAAGAGAGTTTCAAAAAGAAGAGAGAGGTCAGCCATGTCCAGTGCTGAAAAGAGGTCAAAAAGAAGAACCAGTTATCCCAATTGGTTACTAAAGAATTATGGGTTTGGCAATTACTGTGCTACCAGATGTTTACTGATTTTAGTGCATTAAAACAATGCTTAGTTTACTTATTAAACTGCTAGTCAGTAGTTTTCCAAGCTGGTTGCATATTAGAATCCACCAGTGATCTTTTAAAATACCAATGCCTGAATCTTCTCCCCAAATAATTATAGCAGAATGTCTGACAGGTGGGGCACAGGCATTAGTTTATTATAACAGCCCCCAGAGGATGGTAATGTGCAGCCAGAATTGAGAAATTCTGTGTGAGGGGGAGCTGGGCTTTCTACAATAACACATGGGGAACCTCTATGCCTGGTACATTCTGGGCAATCCTAGCCCAACCAACAAGATTATAAACCAGGGCAGAGGACAGAAAACTTTGGACCTGGAGATAATCGGAACAATCTGTTGAGATGCTGGCGGACCTTTCCTAGGTACCTGTATTAGTCTGTTTTCACACTGCTATAAAGAAATGCCTGAGACTGGGTAATTTACAAAGGAAAGAGATTTAATTGACTCACAGTTCTGCATGGCTGGAGAGGCTTCAGGAAACTTACAAGCATGGCAGAAGGCAAAGGGAAAGCAGACACCTTCTTCACAAGGCAGCAAGAGCAAGGGAGAGAGTGAAGGAAGGAGGAACTGCCAAACACTTTTAAAATGATCAGTTCTTGTGACAACTCCCTCACTATCACGAGAACAGGATGGGGGAAACCACCCCCATGTTCCAAACACCTTCCATCAGGTCCCTACCTCCAAACATAGGGATTACAATTCAAGATGAGATTTGGGTGGGGACACAGAGCCAAACCATATCAGCACCTAAGCCTGAGGATGTGACGGCCACTCTCTCTGCCAGGTACCTTCTACTGACTTGCTTCCTTGGTTTGGCAGATCATTAAAACAAAGATCCTACTTGATTCACTTATAAATAATAATAGTAATAGTATCTATTACCCTATTTGTACCAAGCATTTGCTGAGTGTTACATGCATTAACTCATTTAACATGAAGGATACTCCTATGGAGTAGGTATAGTTTCTAACCCTATTTCACAGGATAAAGAAATTGAAGCTCACAAAGTGACTTGCCCAAGGGTCATGAAGCTAGAAGAAAGCGGAGCTGGGATACTTGTCCGTTCCAGTTCACTTCACAACCCAAGCTCTGATCCGTCTCTATGTCATACCGGTTCCCTTCCACCATGGGAGTTGGAATCCTCAACCTGCCTGAGCGCCTGCCCTGCAGCCTCCAAGGAGGGCTGCTCTCCCAGCTCCACTTCCCCAGAGTCTGGACACTTCCTTCCAAGACTCATGCACAGCTGCCTGAGATCCAGTGCTGATATGAAATTATTTCCTTGGCATTCGAGGTAGAGATTTGTCTTTTACCTTTACCCTTTGACACACAGTAACTTCTGCTAAAGGGACTGAGAATTACTGAAATCCTAGTACAAATGAGAACTGATCCTTAAAAATCCATGTAAGCAGAACATAAAATTCTAAAACAAAGATGTAAAATTGTCATTTCCATGGCTTCAACAATTAGCTCTCAGAAAAGAACACTTCAGAGAAACAAGTAGAAATGTATGAACTAACCAAATCAGTATTATTGACACTGTACTTCAATATAGCATTACTTACTACAGAGCAGGTGGTCCGTTTTGTGTTTTTCATGCATTAGGTCATGGGTCCTTTCTGCCACAATGCTTTCAGGTGTTTGCTGTACTTCTCCATCTAAGCATTAATCACAAAGGGAAAATACTTCATAGGAACACGGTGCTCCCTGTGTATTAATTTCTGACTCTTTGAAAGCTCCTAAAAGGCAGGGGAATTTCAGTAGGGGGCTACTGGGCTTGTAATTATTATCCGCTTGGGATCTAATAACCAAGCCAGCTGAGTGCTCCCTGTGAGGGGGTGCACCACTGAGCCTTGCCCTGAATGCTATGGTAAATCCATACCTGAACAAGTGAGCCTCAATCAGCTACTTGTGTGCAGTTCAGGAAGAAGGCTTACCAAGGGCATCATCATGTATGGCACACTATCTTTGTTGGGATTTATTTTGTTTAAAGCTTCTTTATTTGCTGAAACACAGGTCTTTGGTATGAGCTGTTTTTCCTGCACCTCCTAATAAGGTGCAGTGTTTAAAAGTAGCAATCAAACACTGATTTGTCAATATTCTAAATAGAGTTGCAGAATCATCAATCTGTAAATCATCTAGTCCCAGGTTTCTCTGCCTCTTTTGACCTTAGTCCCATCAGCCAAGAAAATTTGGTTGAGCTTTACTTTCAGTAGCTTGAACTCCAAAATCAATGTGTACAATTTTTGTTCATTTTACAAATACAGAACTTGATGATAAAATCCAGTGTGCTTTTCCAGATCACATATGATGCATGCTCTTATGGGGGACTGTTCCCAATTCAGATATGCTACTTGTGCTGCCCCTTGGACTCACTAATGTAGTAACCATTTTTTTATTTTAAAAATAAGAAAACTGGCCAGGAGCAGTGGCTCACACCTGTAATCCCAACACTTTGGGAGACCAAGGCAGGAGGACTGCTTGAACTCAGGAGTTTGAGACCAGCCTGAGGAACATAGTGAGACCCTGTCTCTACAAAAAAAATTTTAAAGATTAACTGGGCATGATGGTGCACACCTGTGGTCCCACTTACTCTGGAGAATGAAGTGGGAGGAAAGCTAGAGCCTGGGAGGTCAAGGCTGCTGTGAGCTGTGATCAGGCCACTGCACTCCAGACTGGAAGACAGACTGAGACCCTGTCTCAAAAAGTATAAAAATAAATAAACAAAGACGAGAAAACTAAGGCCCAGAGATGCTAGAATGCCAGAAGCCTGGGATTTGAGCTCATGAGGGTAATTAATGCCATGGCTGGAGCTAGATTAAAAGGCTTTGTAAGGACGAGGTGGGAAGATTGCTTGAACTCAGGAGTTCAAGACCAGGCTGGGTAACATGGTGAGACCCTGTCTCCATCAAAAATACAAAAATTAGCCGGGCATCATGGCACACACCTGTGGTCCCAGCTACTTGGGAAGCTGAGGTGGGAGGATCTCTTGAGCCCAGGAGACATAGGTTGCAGTGAACCAAGGTTGCACCACTGCACTCCAGCCGAGGTGACAGAGTGAGACCCCATCTCAAAAAAAAAAAAAAAAAAGGCTTTGTAACACCACTGGCTGGTCCTTTCCACTCCACCACTCTCCCTTTCAAAGTTACAAATCTCATTTTATGTTTTAGTAAATTAATTCCTGTCAATTAGACAAATCATAATAAGCCTAAATGAGTGTCTAAATCTCCAAGTGACGGGTGTTACGGCACTACAGCTGTGTCTGCGATGGGGCATGCTGCATATACAAGCGTGCTTGCTTTGTTTCATCGTGGGTCACTTTGTCATGTTTTGATGGCACCAGAGCTCTCTGGGAATGCTGGGCTCACGTCTCAGGATTCTGCCATGGCTCCTCTCTCTGCTCTTCTCTCTATAAACATTCTCCCTGAGAAGGTTACATCTTCATCCACATCTGCATTATAGCCCTACAGTGCTGGTTCCCAAATTTCTCCCTCCATCTGAACCTCTACCCCAAGCTCCTAACACATATTCCGATTGCCTGCTGAATCATCTGCACCTGGAGGTAGATTCCAAAAAGCCAGAAAGACACCAAGAAATTGTTACTTAAGGCAACAGCTTACTCCTGTCGATATATCTCTTTCCAAGACATAAACCATGAGCTTGTGGTTAGACAATGGGATGGCTTCTGAGTCAGCACCCATCAAATAACCTTTCCCTCCTTACTTCCTGCCCTCTGCATACTCTGAGGGGCAAGGATAGTGATTCTCAGGCTTCCCTGTGATCAGCAACTCAAGAGGGAGACATAAGGAATGCTCTTCAGAATAACGCTCTTCCTTCTATGGGAGGGGAGAAAAGAAATGAAGAAAAATAGAAATAACATAGCATTCAAAATAATTAAAACAGAACCATGTGCTCAACTACTTTAGAGCAAAAATATAATTTAACCCTTCTGAAAGCTAGTCTCACCTTCACTGATTTATTTATTAATTCATTCAACTAACATTTATTGAGTACCTACCTTGTGCCAACTGTGTTCTGGACACTTGGGCTACAGCAAGGAGCAAAGAGTGTATAGTCTGTGGTTGGGTGGAGAAGATAGCGATCAACCAAACATATATAATTCAACAGTTGGTGATAAGACAACAGAAGAAGACAGCATAGGCAAGTGAGTCTGTATCAGTGATGGACCATGGAATCTAAGCCAGGTTCAGAAAAGGAGGCATGGGAGGGGTGAGAGGCAGTCAAGTCAATGGGTTGGATGTCCCAGCCTGATCCATTGGTGGAACTGGGAAACTAAAGGGAATTTGCTAGAAAAATAGGAGCAGGAGGCCAAAGAGTAAAATGGTGACATTGAAATTGTGAGGGGGATCCAATGATAGGTAATGAAACTGTCTCGCTGTTATACAGTATGAGTAGCTGAGGCAAAATGAAGGAAAAGATCATGGGAGAAGATGGGGTTGAAGAACTGATGGGCCAGATATTGGACACATCGTCCTTCGGGATACTGACATCACCCAAAATCATAATGGAAGTAGTGTTGGAGAAAGAGGAATGGGGAGCCCAGGGCTGAATTTATATCCTTCCTCCAGAGAACTAAATGGGAGTGAGAGAGTGCACTGGAGTCTTAAACAGGTCTCTTAATCTCAGTTGCCTTGTCTGGAAATAAAATGGCACAAATAATCTATAAGGTGACTTCCAGGTGTCCCCAAAGAGCAAGCTAAAATGGTTGATTCAACCCCTGAGTCTCCTCCTGACAGGAAAAAAAAGGGGGGTCAAATTAGCAAGTGTATCCATTTATCTGTTAAACAGCACTTAGAATTACACTGCGAATTAGGCCTGCTTATATGAAATCCACTCTAGAGCCTTTTCTAAGTGCCTTAATTAACCATGACAGAAAGAAAAGTCCATTCTGCCACCCATGTGTGTCTCCTTCTTTCCACTGTGTCATTCCCACCATTTAAGAGGTAACAGTGCTCCTTTCTGATCAACCGTGGCTTCCACAACCTGGCACTTACGAATCTCCACCAAAAGGCCCCTCCTAGATATCCAGCATTCCACGGGCTCCCCAGCACAGACTGATGGCTTCTAACAACACTGGTCGGTCCCTTACTCCCCAGACACATACTCGGCTTCCTCCTGTGGAGGACAGGGTGCAGTCAGCCTAGTCCCTGACATAGACTTGTTCCATATATGCTTATTGCTCTGTATAGAAATGACCTCACTCATCTGCATTTGTCTGAGAGAGTGCTTTCAGATACAAACAACAAATGGTGACTACTATGATCCAGTCCTCATGAAGAATGGTAGGTTTTTTTATTGGTTTTGTTTTGGGTCTCTGTGGAACTACACTTAAATTGCAAATACAAGGTTGTTGTTGAAAATTAATTTACTTAAACACACATTGCAGCTGGTGGTAACCAGATGATTGGGTGAAAATTGGAACAGTGTATGAACCCAAATAATGTCATAATTGGCATAAAATGAATTCTTCGTTTTAGTCAAAATGTCATGATTTTTCTGATCTGAAAGTTGAGGCAGATTTTTCCTTTCTTTTCTTTCTTTCTTTCTTTTCTTTCTTTCTTTCTTTTTCTTCTTTCTTTCTTTCTCTCTCTCTTTTTTTTTTAGACAAATTTTGCTCTTGTTGCCCAGGCTGGAGTGCAGTGGTGCAATCTTGGCTCACTGCAACCTTCAGCTGCTGGGTTCAAGCGATTCTCCTGCCTCACAGCCTCCCGAGTAGCTGGGATTACAGGCGTGTGCCACCACACTTAGCTAATTTTTGCAGTTTTTAGTAGTGACAGGGTTTCACCATGTTGGCCAGGCTGGTCACAAACTCTTGACCTCAGGTGATCCACCTGCCTTGGCCTCCCAAAGTGCTGGGATTACAGGCATAAGCCACCACACCCGGCCAGATTTTCCTTATTATATACTTTCATCTCTCCTTCTGCTCCTCCTTGCATTTATTTAAAAGCAGTAAGATCAGACCAGCCTGGGCAACAGGGGGAGACCCTGTCTCTACAAAAAAAAATAAACGAATCAGCCAGGCACAGTGTTATGTGCCTGTAGTCCCAGCTCTTCAGGAGACTGAGGTGGAAGAATGGCTTGAGTCCAGGAGGTTGAGGCTGCAGTGAGCCACCGTCATGCCACTACACTCTAGCCTGGGTGACACAGCTAGACACTGTCTCAAAAAAATAAAAATAAAGCAGCAAGATCAGTTAATAATGTTAGCTTGTGCTGGTTGATATTCCCACACCCCTTAATTTATCTGTTAAATGGCAATTAGAAGCACATGAAACCATTGGTTAACATACACAATTCCCGAGGGTTTTACAATTCAAATAATGCAATGAAAAATGATTTCAAAGAACCAGGCTCTACCTCACTCACCTATTTCTCTTATAAACAATAGCTTTATGACAGTTTTGATCTGTGTTGAAAATGTGTATATTTCTGACCCACAAGAATTTATAAACCTAGAGGTAAATTTCTTAAAATAAATAAACAAAACCTAACAGAAAAATTTATTGGAGGATTCACATCCTGGGGCACAAAATCCGTGCTCAAAATCATTATGATTAGAATATGGTCAAATGAAACAGATCCCAAAGGATCCCCATGTTCCGGATGTAGCCAGAGTATTTTTAGTTATGGTCTCTTTCAACTCAACATATCTAAATTTGGATAGGGGAAACTCACCCTAATAGCCAGAAGACTTTACAGTATGAGACTTTTTCAAACAAAAAGCATATGCTATTCTAAATATATACTAAAATATACATTATATCTATGGATGTATCTATATATGTATGCATATATAGATATAGACATATATATCATATTCTTTCTTAAACATATATGAACAAATCAGACACAACGTAATTCTCTGGCTAGGGCAGAGCACACTGTTCACAGCTGAATGACTGAGAAACAGACTTCTTGATGGTTCACTTGAAAATGTGTTTAATAGAGTCTTACTGAGACTGGGTCACTGGATGTGGCGATCTCCAACAAAATGACAGCAGCTGCAAAAAGACACATGGCTCATTTTGATGTAAAATCTCTCATCCAGAGCAAATTAAAAATCCACACATCTTCCCATCTCCTGTGAAAGCAGAGCCACTGTTGGCAGAGACAGTAAAGATATGGCCTAGGTGAGCTTGGCTATACCCACATTTCTGAATTCTACCAGGTCATAATTATCCAAAAAAAAAAAGGGTAAATATTTCTTCCAAATAAATCAGATTCACTTGTACATATGTCACATTTAAAAATAAATTTAGCCAGGCGTGGTGGCTCACGCCTGTAATCCCAGCACTTTGGGAGGCCAAGGCGGGCGGATCACGAGGTCAGGAGATCGAGACCATCCTGGCTAACACAGTGAAACCTCGTTTCTACTAAAAATATAAAAAATTAGCCGGGCTTGGTGGCAGGCGACTGTAGTCCCAGCTACTCGGGAGGCTGAGGCAGGAGAATGGCGTGAACCCAGGAAGCAGAGCTTGCAGTGAGCCGAGATCGCACCACTGCACTCCAGCCTGGGCGACAGAGGGAGACTCCATCTCAAAAAAAATAATAAAAATAAAAATTAAATTAAATTAAATTATAATTAAAATTAATTTAGTTGTCCATAAACTTGTCTATAATTGTAGACTATAAGTTATTCATTAGGACATTTACATTACTAATATCCACTAGACTATGGATATCAGCCTGAACTTTTTTGTTTGTTAGTTATACTCACAAGAGATAATGTTAAAAATAACTTTTCCCAATTACTCATGTGTGTTAATTTTCATTGTGGTGTTATATAATCACATGTAGGTATTTCCTTCTAGTACTTCTAAAGTTTCATTTTTTCATATTGAAAGTATAAACCTGTCCCAAATTAATTCTGGTGAAGGGACCTGATGTTACTTTTGCCAAATGTTCAGACAGTTGTCCTGAATCCTTTATTTAAACAATCTCTCCTTTCCTCACTTATCTGAGATTTCATTTTTATCAAATACTAAATTATCAGATCCATTTCAGGATTACCTATTCTATTTTTTCCCTTTTTTTTTTTTTTTTTGGAGACGGAGTCTTGCTCAATAGCCCTGGCTGGGGTGCAGTGGTGTGATCTTGGCTCACCACAACCTCCACCTCCCGGGTTCAAGCCATTCTCCTGCTTCAGCCTCCCTAGTAGCTGGGATTACAGGCATGCACCACCACACCCGGCTAATTTTTGTATTTTGAGTAGAGACAGAGTTTCACCATGTTGGCCAGGCTGGTCTTGAACTCCTGACCTCAAGTGATCCACCACCCGCCTCGGACTCCCAAAGTGCTGGGATTACAGGCGTGAGCCACCACACCCAGCCAGGATTACCTACTCTTATCTCTATCTTTCTGTCTATCCTGCTAATAGTATCATACTAATTTTTTAACTTTTCGTTGAGGTTTATATTAAAAAGTGCACAAAGCATAAGTGTACCACCGATGAATTTTTATAAACTGAACACACTATGACACCAGCTCCCAGATGCCAGCCCCCCAGAGCCCTCCTCAAGCTCCATCCCAGTCACTGCACACACACACAAACATACACAGGGTAACCACTATATTCACTTCCGACAACTGAGGTTAGTTTTGCCTGTATTTGTCCTTTATATAAATGGAATCGTGCAGCAATACCAAGCTATTTTAATTATAATTTTCTAGTCCTTTCCTAACTTTCTCATGGTTATTCTCACATATCTTGTCTTGACAATGTGAACTTTATCTGTGCCCTCTGCTCCTGGAAGACAGTGACAGTCAGCTTTTCAGAACCTATAACATGGTCCCAAATCCACTTCCATCTTTTCCACTTTTTAAAATATGTGTTTGTTTTGCGCATTTTATTGGTTTGGTTTTATGTCAAGGGCAGAAACAAGGATAAAAACAAGTCACAGTTTGACTCCTTTCATTGATGTCCAGTCCTCTGAGAGTTGTCATCCAATTGGAAAAAAGGTTCTTAGCCACCAAGCTGGGAAGCCACTGGCTCCAGTGCCTCCCAAGCACCCATCAAGTCTTGAAGCGTCATGACCCTGACATTCACACCTTCTTCACCAGATGTCAGCAGAGGTAGCTGAGAAGTAATTTCCATTCCTAAATGGTGGATGGGAAGGCTGTTTCCTCTGTCAAAAAAGCCTCATCAGAGTTTACAGGCTCAGTGTCCCCAGCCTCATCAGGGTCCTCCCACACATCCCCATTCCCAGTTGCAGGGTCACACTCTTCCAATCAATGCCCTCACTTTAACAGTAGACACCTGGCGAGACTGAGCATGCACCTTTCATTGCAGGTCAGCCACTTGCATGATAAGAGCTTGTGTGTGATTTTCCACAATTTCAGCCTTTGTCTACAAGAGATAAGACTCTCACTCAGGGCAACCTTAGAAAACTTGAGGCTCAGTATGTGCTTCTGGGGCTGGGAGTTACAATTCCTGAGCTCAACGGTTTCTTTCATTACTTTGTCAAGCGAACTTAGGAACAACTAACCAACTTCATTACATTCCTTGGTTCCCCACATATGGTCAAAGTTACTATGTATAGTCACTAAACTCCTTGCCTCTCAAGAGCAGTGAATCAGGAGTATCAAATGCATTTATTCTGCATAATTCTCTAAAGAGTTCACACCAAAGACTATCAGTGTTTTCTATACTATTAAAAGTAGAGTCCTCAGCATTTTCAGGTCTAATCAGCTTAAGCAGCCAACTCCAGAAACCCCAAAACCAACTAAAGAAATCCATCCTTAAAATTCTGTTCCTCTAGAACCACTCCTGGTACCAAAACCTGTATTAGTCAGGGTTCTCTAGAGGGACAAACTAATAGGATATATGTATATATGACGGGGAGTTTATTAGGAGAATTGACTCATGTGATCACCAGTGAAGTCCCACAATAGGCTGTCTGCAATCTGAGGAGCAAGGAAGCCAGTCCAGGTCCCAAAACCTCAAAAGTAAGGAAGCCGACACTGCAGCCTTCAGTCTATGGCCGAAGGCCCAAGAGCCCCTGACAAATCACTGGTGTAAGTCCAAGAGTACAAAAGCTGAAGAACTTGGAGTCTGATGTTTGAGGGCAGGAAGCATCCAGCACGGGAGAAAGACGAAGTCCGGAAAACTCAGCAAATCAGCTCCTTCCACCTTTTTCTGCCTGCTTTTTTTTCTGAACTTTTAAAATATTTCTACAAAAAAGAATATTTTTAATTCAACTGCTAAATGTTCAACATGAATAATTATAATGCTAAATTGTATTTGTAATATTTTCTCCACTTATAGACAATAAAGAGCTTCTAAATGTCCATCTCTAAGATTCCCACATTCAACCCAGTAGAGTCACGCTAAGTCTATTCATCTCTCCCTTAAAAGATTGCAATTTCATTCTGCCCATTTAATTTTTCCCTGGGACAATAGACAGAAATGAAAATTAAACCTTTTTTAATAAGAATACACATTCTAATTTTCCAGTCTTCTACTTTTTCTTCAGTCTTGTCTAATAACCTGAGATTATGTCTCCAAGAGATCAAAATTGATGTTATACCATAACTAACCAGTTTGTGCTTGGAGATACTTTTACTATCCTGCAATAGGGAATAATAACCTTACATTTCTCATGCTTAGCCAATCTTGTATGAATTCCTAAAGAGTTAATGAGCACTATACTGTTACAACTCTGAGTCTCTGCCCAGGAAGTTCCTTCTGTTCTGAGCGCCACGGCAGGTTGGATAGGATGGCTTTGACCTGGTTTTGAATCCCCACTCTGCCACTCATCACTGTGTAACCTACAGATTCCTATGTGATAGAGGTGAAAACAGTATATGCCCTGCAGGTTTGCTGTATAGATTACATAAGGTCATGATATAGAGCACTTAGCAAAGTGCCTGGCAAGTACATGCTCAATAACTGTTAGCTATTTTCATTATTATCATTTCTATCATTTCCTTAGCTACCCTACTCATCTCTAGCACCCAGAGCTTGCCTCCCTCTTAACACTTACCACCCTGGTCTTCACTGGCTTACTCCTCTGATTCCATCTATTCCCCAAGGGAAGAACCAGTCTTATTTGATTTTTTTGTTGTTGTTTGTTTCTAGTGCCCAGAACTATGCTTTGCTCATAGTAAGTCTTCATTAAGTGTAATTAAAGAAAGGACAATGAGGGGAGGAAAAAATGAAGAGACAAAGAGCTATCTGTACACATCTCCTGGAGCAGGAGTTTCACAATTCAACATGAAGTAAGTTTCTGGGGCCAGATGCATCTGTTTCAGGCACTGTTGGTATGAACCACATCATGCATTGAAATCTTATTTTCTGTACAATTGCAAACCAAAGTTTACCATTAAAGAAAAGAAACACATTTTTCATTGGGGATGTACAACCATTAAACTGGAAAGCACCACAAGTATCGTCATCGTCATCATTGACCTAAATGTCTTTGTGATTTAGGTCTATGTGAAGTCCATGACAGATGACAATGACAGAACTGACCAAGTAAAGAAAGTGGAATCATAATCACCTAAGATTTGACTAAATAAGAAGCATTTGCCTAACTAAACTTAGATTTAAAGGTAATGCATGAGGGAAAGGAGAAGATAATGTGAAAAAACTAATCCATTTTCATTCAAAGAGCACTGCCCAAATCTAAGCACTAATTCATGAACTCCAGATTATCTGCATGATTGTATTTTAAGAAGATTACTATGACAATCCTGGTCTGCCCACCAATCTCCTCTTGGACTTAATCTTTACCCATCACTGACCTATGTCTTTTTTTGTCGTACCTTTTTTATTATAAAAGATTTCAGGCCAGGCACAGTGACTCACACCTGTAATCCCAACACTTTGGGAGGCCAGGGCAGGTGGATCACCTGAGGTCAGGAGTTCAAGACCAGCCTGGCCAATATGGTGAAACCCTATCTCTACTAAAAATATAAAAATTAGCCAGGCGTGGTGACAGGTGCCTGTAATCCCAGCTAGTTGGGAGGCTTAGACAGGAGAATCACCTGAACCTGGGAAGCAGAGGCTGCAGTGAGCCAAGATAGTGCCATTGCACTCCAGCCCGGGCAACAAGAGCGAAACTCCATCTCAAAAACAGAAAAGAGATTTCAAACATATGTAAACCCACGTGCATATCACCCAGATTCAACAATGACCAAATTCTACCATTTGTGTTCCACCTACATTCTCCCTACAGTTGGCATGTTTTGTTTTGCTGGAGAATTTTAAAGTAAATTTCAAGCACCCTATTATATTGCCTGTAAACAACTTTAGTCTATGCCCAACAAATGTGCATGTTCAATGCCAGGACCGCTACTGCACAATCCCAGTGAGCGTCATTCACACTAGTCTTTGTGCAGTGCACAGCCTAAGCAGCCATATATGGCAACCATGTACAACACTTGCCACAGAAGAGGAGTCTGCAAACTTTTTCTTTAAAGGCCAGATGATAAATATTTTAGGCTTTGTGGGCCATACAGTCTCTGTAGCAACTAGTCAAATCTGCTATTGTAGCACAAAAGCAGCCACAGACAATACATAAACAAATGAGCATAGCTGTGTTCCAGTAAAATTTTATTTACCAAAACAGGCTGCAGAATTAAAAACAAACAAAAAATACGGGCTGTGGGCTGTAATTTGCTGACATCCCCATCCCTCCCCAACACTAGCCTTTTGTATAGTTCCATAAATGATAGCTATTGTCAAAACCAAACAGACCGTGTCTAAAAAGTGATTCCGGAAGGAAACATACTCTGTTGCTAGGAAAGCATGTATACCAATATGATGCTTTTCCCTTTGCCTGAAATTTTACAAACTCAGCAACCATCAATCACATAGTCAGTAGATTTTAGCTTCCCACGGTACATTTTGCACTGATGAAGATAGGCCATTCCTTATGCAACGTCCAGGCAAAGAAAACCTGGACATGCCAAAGGACTCCATGTGAGCTGAGAACAGGACTCAGGCCTCCAATGTTCTTAGAAAGGTGATACTTTAATCAATTCCAGAACAAAAATAATAAACTTTTGCAACAAAAACAAAGCTCCCTACATCTTTTAGGAGGAACTTACATATCATAAATAATTGACTTCTCAATATGCACCCACAACAAATATGAATAGAGAAAAGGAAAAGAAGGAGTTAGAAGAAGAAATTAAGAAAAAGAAAGAGAAGAACATGGAGGAGAAGGAAGAGAGAAGCATAGTATCACACACATGTATTTTTAGAAAGTCTTCGAGTTCAGTTTTCTTAGAGTTCTATTCGGCTCCACCTCATTTGCTTCCTGAACCTGAAAGTGTTTCTAAAAGGAAAGTGTCATCCAGAAGAGTAGCTAACAGGATCCAAGTCTGTCTGCCTTACATCCCCACAGCTACCACCAAAGCACCTTATCTGGAATGTTGTAGTGCCAATCCCGATTCAAGGCAGAAGGGGTTTCAAGACCTCCAGCCTAATACTGTTGGACTCAGTGAGGATTACCCCCCCTTCTGGGCCATCATCAATTTTGTGCCCACATAAATTCTGGCTTGACCTGCTGGCCTGGCTTGAACTCCTGGCCTGTTCTCCACTTGTATCCCAGAGTTCAGGTAATCAAATCTCTGTAGCTGATCATATTTGAGAAGAGGAAGGGAAATGCCAATCAAAACCACAATGAGATGTCATCTCATTCCAGTTAGAATGGCTACTGTCAAAAAAAACAAGAAGAAGAAATGTCTACCCTTCCCCAGCTCACCGCCAGTAGGAAACCTTCCAAAGCCCATTTCCCATCCCCAGTCTGGGCTAGATGCCACTCCTGTGCACCTGACATACCCCTAGGAACTCTATCGCTGTTCTGTAACTCTGCTTATTTGCCTTCCCCAATGGACCAAGACATTCTTGAAGGCAGAAAATCTTTCTCATTTATTTTTATTACCTACAGTGTCTAGCATAGTGTTTCTTAGATTAATTAATTAGACCTACTGCTCGTCTTGTCAGGACTATTTGCTGTGGCCTATAGCTACGCCAAACAATGTTCTAAACAGAATGTTCTACTTAGCCAGGTCTCCTCTGGGCACCAGTTGGGGGAGAGGGACCTCATTCAAAATCCTATTTCCTCTAGTCTTCCCTGTCTAGGTATACCAACCTGCCCATCCATGCCACAAGATATAACACAAGATATTGCATTCACTTCCAGGATAATTGATTCCAAGATAACGCATTCACATGGCAATGAGCCTTAGGAATGTTGATCAAAGAAGGGCTTAGTTGTAGGAGTTCACTGGTTGTGACTCCTACCACTCAAATGTCTGGCTCCTACCAAAATCCCCAGTTGAAAGAGATGTTATCATTGAGCAGAACATCCATCAAGCTTCCCTTTGGGCAGTATTCCATCACAATAACCACATCTGGCAGTGCAATACAGCCTCCAGTGAATCTGCAGATGTTTGGATGATCTAATTCTCTAGAAAAACCAATACAGATTAGAAAGGATTTCTCTGGGACATGATCTCCTAATTCCCACTTTAAAATCTGACCTAGTTTTTCTGACCACATAAAGAAACAAATATCCCCCTGGATTTAGTGTTGTGCAAAAATAAAGCTTGCAAATCCACCCACTGTGATGCAGGGTAAAGCACTTAGAAAAAAACATAATCGTCATCAAAATTCATTCTGGGCCAGAACTTTACATTCAATATCTGTAATTTGTGCAACAACCCTGACTGGTGGCTATAACTGTCCTCACTCTAAGTGAGGAAACCAAGGCTCAGAGAAGTGACGTAACTTAGCCAAGGTCCCCCTGATAGGTAATGGAGCTAGATCCTAAACCTAACTTGGCCTAATTCCCAAATTCATTCACGGTGTTTTTCAATCATTGCCATAGTGCATTCCAATATAAAATACAAATACAAAAAGAAGAGTTCTTACACTGGGAGAGTTGAATTTTCTTCACAAATAATATTGTTTCAGAAACAAAAGGCAATTTTCACAAGCCAAGTAGTCACAGACTTTTCAGTCTCTCCACGCCAACCTCTCATATGTTTGTTTTTCTTTAAGTTGGATTCACCCAACCCCCACCCCAGGGAAAGAGTAGGCTCCCTAAATCCCAGGCTTGCAGCTGGCATTTCAGCGTGGTCATTACTACATCTGCACCATCAGCACAGAGGCACAGGTGCTGCCTTGCATAAACCAAAGATTGATTTGCAGGTTATCCATGAGGAGCTTTCCAGTCATAACATTTTTCTCCAATCAAGATTCCAGTATCCTTTATGCAAGTACACAGGCAGTAGGGGAGGGAAAATATCTACTGTCTTTTCAGCTTAAGTTTGCTTCCCCAATCATCACATCTCGAATTACTTCGCAAGACATTCTCCAAGGAATAGCACAATAGCAGTACTTTTCAGAACTGATGCCAGGGAGGGGAGGAATGTTTATGCTTGTAGTAAGTCCCAGCTGGTAGATGAAGGGCCTTTTCCCCACTCTTCAGAGTGGAATTCTCTGGTATCTCCTACCCCTTACTCACTTCCCACCAAGGAAAGGAATCATCGGTGAGTGGGAGTTCACACTCACTATGTCACCATTACTGGTGGGCGGCATCACTGTGGTAAAGACCATCTCTTCCATTACTGCTCCCACATGGTAAGCACCACTGGGCAGTTCCTCCTCTGTGGGAAGAGCTGCTGTTCTTGTTCTACCTACAACTGGGGTGGGTGAGGTAGGCCCATAGTCCTGGTGTGTAGGTGGTCAGATAAGTGACTTTATGTCTGCTCTGCAGGCCAAGCTGCTCACATGCCCACTCGCTCGTCTGGCTGAGCATGTGGGTCTAATGACTCAGATGTGGTCTCTGTGGTAGAAGCATGCACTTCAGCATCTGGCTCTCCAATCCAGCTTTTAGCAGAATTTGCTTTGAATATCAGGGACTTGATACTGAGGACAAGTGTTACTTTCTTCTCTTGCTATTATTCCTTATGTGTTCTTCCCATTGGTCAGAAGCAGAAAGGGAAGAAGAGATGAATAGCAACCTGAACATTTAACAACTGAGAGCTCTTGCAAACCAGGCTCTGAAAATATTCTCTATCAACATTAGAATGGCACCAAGTCAAGGGCACATGAGGAAACCCCTCCCAACTGCAGGATGAGATGTCTGAAATACCTGACGTAGAGCATATTAAGAGAACAATTATCTGTGTCCAGCTTTATCATCTATAATATATGTTTTATACACTCATCAAGCAAAGATGCTTTAGTTTGCTGAACCCAGTGAATCACAGAGACTTTTGCAAATGTGAAGAAATAGTATGTAGCTGCAGGATACTGCAGGCTCCTTTGCTAACTGGAAGATTAGTTGCTGTATTTTGCAAAACCCCAAACTTCAACCCAACCCATTCTCTCTTAACCAAGATAAACTGCCGTCAACCCAGCATCTTCCTCTTCCATTCCCTACCCATTTCTATTTAGAGAAGAAAGAACTGAAAACTGATATTAATATATTGCTGTATGAGTGTTTTGGAATAAGAGAGGAGGAAATAGGCCTACTCCCCTTCTCTCTTCCCTCTCCTGAATCTAAAGCCAACCTGATGCAATAGGGAAGAGTGGTGGGAGCAGAAAGAAGCTGAACCTCGGTGGGGAAGTGCAATTGTGATTTCCTCTAATAGGTAAGTTTTTGGCATAATCTGTGCACAAAATAAGGCCTTAGACTGTAAGAGAATAATTACTTTTTCTAATAAAAGCCATTGTTCTTTTGCTGCAATCAACTTTCAAGTTCTCTAAACATTTGTGATATTAATTCTATCAAGCTCTAATCCTTTGGCCATCACTCGTCTTCTTGTTCTTAAGAAGAACCTCTACTTATCCTTTGCCATGATGGGTTAAATATAAAATAAGATATAATAAAGTAAATGAAAAGCAAGGAAAACTATTAGGTTTGTACTTGTGTACCAACTCTGAGAGATGATTGGAGATGACTGAAGCACTGTGTTGGGAAGGATTCTGAGGCCAGATCTGTACTCAGAGGAAAGGTACTAATATTAGAGCGGTCCATGGGCATGAGCAATGCACACATTGTCCATCCTTGAAAGATTTAGAGTCTTACTCTTGAGTCCAAAAGGCCAGTTCACAAGGACATCAGTATGGAAGGTTGGTGTTGCAATAATACATATGAAGATTTGGAGTTTGGACCAACTACAGGCTCAATATGAGCCAGCAACATGAGAGCATTGCCAGAGATGGCAGCATGGGTGGAGGCATGTTGTCCAAGGCTAGGGAAGCACGATCTGCCCTGTACTGGCAGGATTGTGGCAGGAGTGTTGGGTTTCATTCTAGATGCATGCTTGGAGAGAACTGTTAGTCAACAGCTAGAGAGCAGTGCACTCGATAAAGGGCTTTTGAATCTATGTTTCATGGAGAAAAACAAGGATGTTCAAACTGAAGAGAAAACTTTCAGGGAATCCAGATACCCACCCTTCTTGGTAATACCTGTTGCCCCCAAGGTGAGCTTCCCAGATTCTTAGCAACCACTAACTTATCTAATGAGGTAACCCACAGAAGCTCTCCAGTGCATTTACCTGCCTGCCACTATCCTGGTGGGCCTGCTGCACCCAGATGTCAAGCTGGTAGGCTGGGATCAATTAGCAATTGTAATTAAAACTGAATGTAATTAACCACATAACAGTGAGATGTTCTTGATTAATTTCCTGAAGTTAAGAGACTACTATAATGTTCTGACAGAAGACAATAAATAATTCAAAAACTCCTAAATTTGGTTATGCATTTGAGTTTCATCCAAATAATTGTTCACCAAGCCATTGTTACTGAATAAAAATGCATTGGCCCACACACATAGGTTAACAATCTTAATTAATGATCTTGTGGCCCACTACCAAAAGGCTTGAATGCCCCTGCTGACTTTAAGTGCTTAGAAAATAGATAGCTGATGGCTGTACAACCATGTAAATGTGCTTAACACCACTGAACTGTGGACTTAAAAACGGCTAAAATGGTAAATGTTATGTCATGTATATTTTACCACAAAAAAAAAAAATGTTCAGGCCAAGAACAATAGTTCATATCTGAATCCCAGCACTTTGGGAGGTCGGGGCCGGAGGACTGCTTGAGGTCAGGAGCTCGAGACCAGCCTGGGCAATAGAGTGACACCTTGTCTCTAACTTAGAAAAATAAACAAAGTTTTTAAAAATAGCACAGTGCAGTGGTATGAGTACAAGCTTTTGGGTCAAGCAGAGAGGTACTCAAATTATGACTGGGCTACTTATCGGCTCTGTGACCTCAAGCAAGTTGCTGAATCTCTCTGAATCCATTTCTTTATCTGCAGAATGGGAGTAATAATGCCTACCAGTCTAATTAGGTGGGTAGCCAGAAGTAAGGAATACAACTGATACATAGAAAGCATCCAGTGGGTAACATGGCAGCCGAGGATAGGTCAGACTCAGCATAAAGACCAGTGGGGAGAAGTTACAGGAAGACCTACTAGCGTTCATGATAAGGAAAACTTGCTAACTTAGATCAGTCTAACAATAGAAGAGGCACCTCTACAGAAAGACCATCGCACTGCAAAACCATAGCCCCACAAACCACAGCAATGGGGAAACAATGACCCACGAAGCAGAGGTTCACAAACAATAAATCACTCCCCAACATTGAGGCTCGTAATCCATTCCACAGGATGAAGGAGCCACCTGTGAGCAGCAAACAATCTCAGGCTCAGGCTTCCCACAGGGGTGGTTCCTCAAGGCCACCAGCCCCGTGTATTCTGTTTACTTTACTTGCAGCACTTCCCTATGGATCACTTTGGAGAAAGTAAATGTCTTCTTCTTGATCCTGTTTATGGCCACAGTCCTCATAACTGTAATAAGATAAGCTATGTACACTCTTACTTGTGTGAGATCAGAACTACATTCCCCCTCTCACCCATGGGTAAAGTTAAAGCGGCATCCTCCCAGGACAAGCTGGTTTGATGGGCACAGGAATTAGCTAGAGAGCATGAGACATTCAGTTGCTGGGGAGGCTCAGGAATTGGAAAACGCTACCAGGTATCTTAACAGCGTTGCAGCCCCTCTTGCTGAAAACCTTCCCTGTGGGTCCCAGTTGTTAGCTTCAGGCCTCTAAGAGGAGTCTGAAATGAGGAGACAGGGGTGGGGATTCCCGCATAGTATTTGGAGCCATTGATTCCTACAAAGTTTTGAGGATAACCTTTCCTTGATTGTTTTCTCAGCCTTTCTAGGAGCTGCCTTCTTGGAGCTCCCCAAAATATTGCAGTAATCCTTTCTAATCACCTTGCTTTGGACTTATCTGCTTGAGTGCACATGTCTGCACTGTACTGTGAACAACCTGAAGACCTGCGCTATGTCTTTTTCTTTCTTTTTTAGACCTGTGGTCTCACTATGTTGCCTAGGCTGGTCTCATACTCCTAGGCCATCCTCCCCACTCAGCCTCCCAAAGTGCTGGCATTACAGATGTGAGCCTCTGTGCCTGGCCTTATGTCTTTTTCTTGCTCATATTCCCCACACCATTGCCAAGTGCAGAGCCAGCTTTCAGTGTAAGATTGTAGAATAAATTGGATAGAGAGCTGGGGACAAACGGGCTGCGAGAAGACAAAGAAAGGAAGGCAAGGAAGGAGAAGAGAACTCCACAGGATACTGACTCCACACTTGATACGCTTTCCCCTACCTTGGGTGATGATGATTTAATCCTTGTGAGAACCCAACCAGGGTAGGCACTATTGTTACCTTCTCTGAATAGAACAAAGAAATTAAGTAACTGGCACAGAGATAGTCATTAGTGAGTGAGGGGTCAAGATTCAACCCTCATCTACCTATTCCAAAGCCCAGGCTGTTTTCTCTAAGAAAACACAGCTCAGCCCAGTCCCTTTCCCTGGTTCTGCAGCTCTGCCCTGTCTCCATTCTGCAGAACCCCCTCCCTGTTACTGAAACCTCTCCAACAATCCAGAGAGCTGGCAGTGTTACTGCAATTCCAAGTCCTACGAATCTACACCAGTGCAGTCCTGTGTTCTTCAGGTAGGAAATATTTGAGAGAATGAATTCATATACGTTAGCTAGGTGCTACTTTCCTTCTCAAAATAGTAATGAATACCTTTGCTGTGAAATTATGGTAGGGAATAAATTATTGTTTATGCTTTTGTTAAAACAAAACAGCTCTAAGGTTGGGTGCAGTGGCTCACGCCTGTAATCCCACCTTGGGAGGCCAAGGTGGGTGGATCACTTGAGCTCAGGAGTTCAAGACCAGCCTGGGCAACATAGGGAGTCCCCATTTAAAAAATTTTTTTTTAATAAAAAATTTTAGAAAACAGCTGTAATGAACTAAATTCTAGCATGCTTAAGTGAAAATTGGGAGAAAAAATTTGGATTGTGACCACCAAATGAAAAAATTACATCCTCCTATCAATGGCTCCGAATACTTTTAAGTTATTCCACTTTACAGTGTGCCGAGCATTTTAATACAAATTAATCTCACTTGGTCTTCCAAGAAGAATCAAATAAGTTATATATCTTCATCTTTTAATGCAGATAAATCTATCAATATGTTCCTTTCAAGTTTATTCATTGCTTTTCGGTTCGTAAATTCCTTTCTTAAAATTTTTTCCTTTCATCTTTTACAATGAATTATTTAAACAACCTAAAATTAATTTGAAAAATAAGATAAGGTGAGGCTATAATTTGATTTTTCCCATATTGATCTATTTTTTATTTTTTATTTATTTACTTTGTTTGTTTGTTTGTTTATTTAGAGATGGGGTCTACTGTGTTGCCCAGGCTGGTCTCAAACTCCTGAGCTCAAATGATCCTTCTGCCTCGGCCTCACAAAGTGGTAGGATTACAGGCGTGAGCCACCACACCCAGCCCTCCATACTAATCTATTGTTGCAGCACAATTTATTGAATAATCTTTCCTCTTTTCAGATATTTGAGCTTTGCCATGCATTTATTACACACATATCCATTTGTCCATTTCAAACTTATCTATTCTATTCCAAATCTATTTGCCAAGTCTTTTTCTCCCAATCATACACTCTTCTAATTACTTTAATTTTCTATTTAAAAAAAAAATCAAATAGTGAAAGTACTCCTCTTGCATACTATTTCTCACCACCACCACCACCCCCTTGACATACACACACACACACACACACACACAACATCCCTGTTTACTCTCATCTGTTAATTTTTCCAAATAAAATTTAGAATCATAATATTAGCACAGACCCGAGGCCTCCAAGGCAGGGAGCTGGCAATGGGGCAAGAACAAGCCATTTCCCACCTTCTCTTGAGCAAATAATACTGCTCTTTTATGCAGGGTGAAGCAAGTAGAGTCTGCAAATTGTTTTTTTCAACCCAACTTCACTCTTCCTACAACTTTTGGAAATCTGTATTTTCAGAAGCTTTTCTCACATCAAGCAGAATTTGTTAGCAAAACCTGTTCTAGCTAAGCCTATGGTGAATCTGTCAGAAGGGGACGGGTGGCCATGCTGTGTGCAGGAGCTTCTAAGAAATAGCACTGCTTAATCCTATCACCTATGATGCTTATAGCAATCGCAAAATTACTTAGACATTTAAAGGGAAAAAATTGTCAGAGATGTACCTCTTAGGTGAATGGTTTTACCATAAAAAGCTGACTGCCTTGTCTTGGGTTAAGAACACATTTTTGGTTACATAGATTTCCTCCCCAATAATTGTTGGAATATTGGCTAAATAAAATATTCTCCATAGCAGATTTAAATCACACCCAAAACTGTCCATTTGAGTTACGAGTATTTGTCTTTTTCTTTGTGTTTTAGGCATTTTCTTGAGACACTGGGTAAAGATGGGAGGCTGCTAAATAGAGGCCATTTAAACCACTTTAATTGTTATTTCAATGGGGAGTTGGAAGGAAGTATGTTGGGTACACTGCTAGGTAATCTACCACTGCGTGACCCACAAATGCAGACATTGTCTAAGTTACATTTGCACGACTTTTAACTAGCACTGGGAAAAGCCTGGCTTAAGAGTAAAAGAAAGGCCTAGAATCCAACAGACCTGGGTTCTAATCCTGACTCCACTTAATACTATTTGAAAACCCTGGGCAAGTTTATTTCCCAGCTCTGTGCCTCGGTTTCCTTGAATAGAATGTTAGGAAACTAAAACTTACCTTGTAGGATTCAAGAATAAGAGATAATGCATAGAAAGGACCTTGTACAATAGTTGGCACAAAGTAGGTACCTAATGAAAAGCCAGTTATTAATGCCTCCAAGAATATGAATGGTCTGTATGTCCATATCATTTCTAGCTTAAGAACTCACCCAAAAAAAGTAAAAGGATAAGAGCTCTGTTGAGTGGAGAAAAAAGATTCTAGATGATTCTCTTAGTTTACAGAATTTCTGCCTAGGAAATCAAATTCTTGCCTCTGGCTTGAAGGGCATCCAAGAGCCCACTCACTGCAGCTCAAGCTTGGCACAGTCGTAGGAACATCTCCCCTGCCCTGCACTGAACACACTCCTCAGGAACCAGCCTACGAGCTTACTTTGGGTGAAGTGCCGCTTCCTAGAAGCCAAGAGCAGCCATGCAGATGCTGCCCCCGGTGCCCCTGCTGGCATGGGAATCCTTGGCCACTGTCAACCCGCTGCCCAGGCTCCCCTCCACAGTCCACCGAACCACATCTGAGTGGAAGAAACAAAACAGCCCACATCAGTGTGTGCAGCCAACAAACGGAGCAAGCTGATCAGCAGATATCACTGAAAAAACCCCTCATAATAATAATGGCTGCCGTGCATGTGCCAGACACCCCCACCTGGCACTTTTCACGTGTCTTCTTGTTTAATTATCACAATAACCCTATGAGATGGGTATTGGTACTGTATCATCATTTTACATAGGAGGAAATGAGGTTCAGAGAAATTCAAAGTAGCTTCTCCAACATCCCATAGCTGATAAGAGTCAGAGATAAGATTACAACCCAGATCTGTTTGACTCCAGCGCTCAAACTCATTCCACCATACATGCTGGCTGTCCCAAGAGCCCACGTACAGAGTTCTCTGCTTGGGATTCAGAATCTGACTCATAGTCTCTGACCTAAAAGGAACGTTTGAGAATCTCAGTTATTACAGTATGTTCTCCAAGCCCACTCTTGTACACTCTGCCTTGTGATACTGGGGATGGGACCCTGCACAGCCCATTTCTCCTTTGCCAGCTGCTCTCTTGAGGTGTTTTCTAGGGGTGGGGAGTCCTAAAGGGATACCTAAAGGAGGGAGACGCCATCGGCTACTTCCTGCCTGCTTCCCATTTAGGTCAGCATGGCCCCAGAAAGGTTTCTTCTTTAGAACTCCTATAGCAGTCTGTTGCCACAGCACAGGGATTCTGATTGCAGTTTTCTCAGCACCAGCCATGTTGTACCACTCTCCTTCCCCCTCCCCAGAGGCATCAGGACCCACCTGAGCTAAGAGGTGCATCCCCTTCTCCAAGTTTCTGAGTTTTAATAGTCACAACTTCTTCACTCTGTTCCCAGCCCCTGCAGCTGTTTCCTCTGTGGCTCCTTTGTGCTCCCTGATTGCCTTTCCAGTTCTTTAATTCCTGGTTAATAATGAATTGTATCAACTTCTCTTTTAAAACAATGGGCATGGCTTGTCTCCTGACTGGACTCCATTTTACACAAAGAATCATCGTCTGCTCTAATGCCTTTCAAATGAGGAGACTGAGGCCCAGAGAAGTTAAGTGACATGCTTAAGCTTGCACGCTCAGTAAGAATATAAAATAATGTTGCTACGATTTGTCCTCTTAGAATGTGCTATAACACCATGAGGTACATACCACCATCCCTATCCCTACCCACACCCTCTTAGAATGTGCTATAACCCAGTTACATACATACCATCATCCAAATAAAACAAATGCAGAAATTGAGGCTCAAACATCATGTGATTTCCCTAATGTCACCCCTTAATGAGTAATAGAGGTACAATTTGAACTGAATTAGCCTAACTGTGAAACCAGGGCTCTTAACCACTATTCCATACTCAGTGTGTTATCTCCCCATCCCTCTGGACTGGATAAATGTCTCTGCATCTTCAAGGGCTGGTGGAGCTCCTAGCTGTGGTTTCTCGCTCTCCTAGAACTGCTCACTCTTGAAGCCAGTAATCTTTTCTTAGCACTACTGGCACAGAATATAAAATCTAAATATTGTCCATCTACTAACATTTCTTTAACCAAGTCCCCAAACCAAAGGGAAGAAAGCAGCTATCTTTTACATGATATTATTGTCTCCCAAGCTATCTGGGAATCTTCAGGATGATTAAAGTCCCTCTCTAGCCAGTTGCAATGACTCTAAGTCCTAGATGATTCACAGAAAAAAAAAAAGGGGGATGGGGGTGGGGAGGACTACTTGGCAATTAGGAAGGAGTAGGATCACAGTTATGAAAGCTATAAATATCTTTCACATGTCTTCTGTAGACTGGGCTGCAAAATAAGAAAGTTCCAATATCCTATTTATTAGTTATCAAAAAGCACAAAGTTGCACTTCAAACATATCAATAAGTCTCTCTCTATTACCTCTTGACAGGTAGAGCCCAATTAGGAGCTTCCAAGAAGCTGGGTTTGGAGTCCAGCTACTTCCTGACTGAGAGCTCTGCTGAACACTGCAGCCAGTTAATCACAGGAGGAGACTGGATGGCTCCCATGTCAGGCATGCTGCAGGGCCATGGCAGGAGGAAGAGCTGCTTGCTGTCTACTAATGAGCCAACCTGGATGCCCAGCAGGCTCTGCTGGGCTCAATGCCCTTGTTTGTAGGAAGTATCCTCAGGATTCATCTTAGTTGCAGCCCAGAATGGAGGTTAAGTCAGGAGCCATCAGAGAATGTAGGAGGCCTTACCACCATGCGAGGGTTGAGCCTACCTACCAATCCAGGAGTAGAGAAAAAGACATCGGCCTTTTCAGGCATCCTGAGCTTTTGTGGGCAGCTCCGTTGAAGCTCTTGAAAGCTCTGCTGCTTTCATTTAGTAACTATTTATGGACTGCTAACTAGGTACCAGGCACTGACAGTATTACTCTGTTCAAGTCAATAAACATTTCCTGAGTATCTATATGTACAAGCACTTCACCAGGAAGAAAGGACTTACACCTAAAAAAGGTGGCCTTCCAGACTCGTGTGACTTCCTGCTCATCTCAGCACCCTGGGTGTCACGGGTTTTCTCAGTGCCCCACAGCAGGAAGCAGTCCAATTTACTAGAAAGAGCAACAGACAAGGAGCCAAAGTTTATGTCTGGGCTCTGCCACTCACCCCCTGCACGATTTAGGCAAGTCACTGAACCATCCCACCTCAGTAGTTTCATGTGCAAAAAGCAATCTGACAGGCTAAGATCCAACAAGACAAATCTAAGGATGATTATTATTGAAATTTATGGGTGGAGGGAAAAGAAAACAGGTATTTCCACCCTATTTAATTTAAACGTTATATCAGACAAATGAAATTCCCTGTGACTATTAAGAAAGACTGGCTAGGCATGGTGGCTTACGCCTGTAATCCCAGCAATTCGGGAGGCCAAGGCGGGCGGATCACCTGAGGTCAGGAGTTTGAGGCCAGCCTGACCAACATGGAGAAACCCCGTCTCCACTAAAAATACAAAATTAGCTGGGCGTGGCGGCACATGCCTCTAATCCCAGCTACTCGGGAGGCTGAGGCAGGAGAATTACTTGAACCTGGGAGGCAGAGGTTGCAGTGAGCCGAGATCGCACCATTGCACTCCAGCCTGGGCAACAAGAGCGAAACTCCGTCTCAAAAGAAAAAAAAAAGAAAAGAAAAGAAAAGAAAGACATGGGGAAAACTGAAACACAAAATCAGCCCCAGGAAAACGTGGCCATAGATAGATGGATAGGTTTATTTTCAGGGCTACTCCAGTTAATTTTTTTGGCATCCACCTCATTCAGTGCCCAAACACGAAATGCAGCTCCTACCCTCACCCCCTCCAGAATCACTGGATCCCAACCATGGGAGGGCCGGCGAGCCCATCTCATTCAGTCTTCTGCACCCACAGGACGCCCAGGCACCAACATCCCGGAAGAGGCCTTCCAGTCTTCACTTGAATACATTCAAAGGTGAGGTGCTCATTGTTTGGTAATATAACATTCCATTTTTCCCAGCTCTGATGAGTAGAAAACATGAAATCCAAAACCATCCATTGGTCCTTGTCCAGCCCCCGTGATGCTACCTGAACTCATCTAACCAACCTTCTCCAAGGCAGCCTTTGACCCAGTCCCTCATTCTCCTCTCCTTTATAATAACTCCTTTAAACAGCTTTGGGTTTCGGGGTGGGGTGGGGGGCGCATGCTGTTAATAGGACCCAACCCTGACATTACTTGTGTCCTATTAACAGAAATGAGTTCCTCCTCCTACTTATTCAGAAGTTGACATTAGGCATAAAAAGATAGGCATGACCTTTTCAGCCAGACCCTAGGGAACAGATTCTAAAAATATCTCTATGTCCGCAGGCATCATGGCCAGAGCCAACACTATGAATAACCCTCTATGCTCCCTGGAGACTCAGGAGACAAGAAGAGACCTGCAGGCCAGTTTGCATGTCAGGGTGCAGGGGGAGTCATCGGCCAGGACTGGCCTTTGTGTTCTAACAGCTGAGGCATGGCCCAGGGCAATGAAGGCCCCATCCATCCCTGAGTCATGAGGTGGCCCAGAGGAGAAGATGAGAGGATTAGGAGAATAGGGGGCTTTGTTATTAGTATAATCGTAATAATTTCCCTCAATATTTGAGAATTATAAGCAAGGACTTGGACTCAAATTAACTTAGGATTAGACTCAAATAATATTGTAGTATATTGATTAAAATATCATATCTGGCTATACTAAGCCCAGGTCACTGGGTAGTAGAAGGGCTTAATCCCACAAGTTCTATCACTTAATAATAACAAGAATAACTAACATTTATTGAGCCAGTCACTGCTTTAGTTACAGCTTAGTTATAGTATCTCCACAACAACCCTATGAAGAAGTATATAATAACTCAGGGATGCACGGGATCTCCATTGCCCTGGGCCATGCCCCAGCTGTTAGAGGACCAAGGCCAGTCCTGGCCGATGACTCCCCCTGCACCCCCACGTGCAAACTGGCCTGCAGGTCCCTTCTTGTCACCTGTCTGAGTCTCCAGGGAGCAAAGAGGATTATTTATAGTGTTGGCTGTGGCCATGGTACCTGCGGACATAGAGATATTTTTAGTGTCTCCTCCTTCTCATTTTATAGATGAGGAAAGTGAAGCTGAGAGCAGGTGAGTAATTTGACTAAAGTCACACAACAGTGACTGGGCCCATTAACTCAGAGCCTGAGCTCTTAACCGAGAGGCAAAAACAGAGAAAGAATGAAGCCATCTTCCACAGCCGACAAGTTATTCAGATCAGACCAGGGTCTCTGTTTAAATGCCATCCACCACTACATGTCTGCTTCTCCTGAGAAGGAACCAGGACAGGCTCTCACAGATGTGGAGTCTCTAGAGGCCTCTGGTCCCAGCAACTCTGCTGCCTGCAATCTAGTCTCTCCCTCAGCTGCCTGGTGGTGTTATACCTGGATCCCCAGGCTCCCTGCCCCTGCTGCCACCTGTGCCTGCCTGTCTGTGCATAGGCACTTGTTCCTCCAAGACTGGACTAAGCCCCTGGACCCTTAAATTCAGCAGGTCCACCTGGTGATTCCCAAACGTCAGGCAGTCACATGCTACCATCACAATTTTTAGAGTATCTGTGGACCACTGTTTACTTCATGCGTTTCTGCAAAATAGCTTGTTTGTTTGTTTGTTTTGAGACAGAGTTTCACTCTTGTTGCCCAGGCTGGAGTGCAATGGCACGATCTTGGCTCACTGCAACCTCCACCTCCCAGGTTCAAGCGATTCTCCTGCCTCAGCCTCCAGAGTAGCTGGGATTACAGGCATGTGCCATGACACCCAGCTAATGTTTGTATTTTTTAGTAAAGACTGGGTTTCACCATGTTGGTCAGGCTGGTCTCGAACTCCTGATGTCAGGTGATCCACCTGCCTCGGCCTCCCAAAGTGCTGGGATTACAGGCATGAGCCACCACACCCGGTCTATTTATTTTTACTTAGCTGTGTTTAAACAGTAGTATCTGTGAAATCACAAGCTAATATACTGGTCAATTTTTGTCTAGTATGCATGAAAATGCACAACAATTAAAGGGTTTTATTTTTTTAATTTCCCATCAGTAGAACCTAAACCACTACTGGCACACACTGCCTTATCAGATGCACAAATCTCTTCTACAACACTGTAAATTGTGATCAATCAGCCATCCCTCCAAAACTCTAGTGAGGGGACTCACCACTTTCTGTTACCTAAACATTTCCTTCCCAGCTAGATGATCCAACAGCTCTGGAAGGGCACCAGGCAGGGCTAAAGAGACCAATCGGATAAACCATAATTTTTGCTTTTTTTTTTTTTTTTTTTTTTTTTTCAGAAAGAACCTCATGAGGGAGAATGAGGCTTCAAAGTCAGAGGTAGCTAGAATTTCAGCTCCACTACTTTTTTTAAGTTCCTGGGCAAGTGCCAACTTCTCTGAGCCTGTTTCCTCATTTTCCAAGGGGATTATAATACGCACCTCAAAGAGTTGTGCTATGGGCGAGATCACATATGTAAAGTGTCTAGTACAGCTCTTGGCACACCACAATCACCCAATAAATATAAATTCCCTCCTTTTCCACAAGAATAGTAAAATAACCTGGCAATACTGACGAATGGCTTTCCTTGGTAAGAATCGTCCTGGCTAATCTCCTAGAAGCATTCCAATCATTCACTGCTCTGCATATGAATTTGGGGCAGTATTTTTCTTCAAACTTGGCGGAGAGCCTGATTATCTTCCCAAACAGTGAGTGAGGACCTGATCATTCTGAAGATCAAGACAGATTTTCTACCTTAAACGGCAGAGCCCTCACTGTTGGTTTTCTGAGGATAGCAGGTTTCCATGACCCCAAAGGGAAAGCTGGCAGGGTGCTAACCTGGGTGCTAACCTGGGAGGGACCAACCCTGAGACTGGCTGGATGTTTAAGCTGACAGAATTTCAGCAGAAAAGCATCAACCATCACTGTCAAAAGCTCTGGGGTCAGGCCAGGCGCGGTGGCTCACGCCTGTAATCCCAGCACTTTGGGAGGCCAAGGCGGGCGGATCACCTGAGGCCAGGAGTTTGAGACCAGCCTGGCTAAAATGGCGAAACCCTATCTCTACTAAAAATACAAAAAATTAGCCAGGTGTGATGGCGGATGCCTGTAATCCCAGTTACTCGGGAGGCTGAGGCAGGAGAATCACTTGAACCTGGGAGGCAGAGGCTGCAGTGAGCCGAGATCGCACCATTGGGCTCCAGCCTGGGCGACAGATTGAACCTCCATCTCAAAATACATACATACATACATACATACATACATACATACATACATACATAAAAAGCACTGGGGTCTCTGAACAGAAGCTACGTGGCTCCCAGAAAAAGTGAAGCCCGCACGCAGGCAGTGCTCATGAGTTGGTGGCCAAAGCCTTATCTGCATCCCTTTTCACTCACTATTACGTGGCATTAAGGAAATTTTCTGCTGAGCAGAGTGACCTTGACATGTGATTTCTTGTGCTTTTCTGGGTATATGCAGAGCATTATAAGAAGTAATGATTCCCAAAGAGCCCATCTAATCTGACAATTTTCATCAGCCTCCAAGGGGAGATTTTACCTTTTGCTCATTTCTCAATTTTTTTTTTTTAGTGTTACTATAAAAAAGAGAGGAAGAACAAGATCTATAACCTTTAATATGTCCTTGCAAAAGTTAGAGGTATGACATAGATGTTCTCTTTCACTCATCTTTGCCACCAGTCAGCATTTCTCAGCAGGTGGATCAAGTATACAACTGGTCGAACTTTCCTCTTTCTCTAAATCTTAAAGATACTCTCCAGGCATCAAATGTGAGTTTGGCAGAAAAACCATGGGTACTAGACTCTTAGACTACTGGGAACAAATAACATGAATCTCGGCTATTGGATCCTGACCACTCTAATCTCAACCAATGTTGAGTCCACATTTGGGAACATGAGTTGTAAGGACCCTAGAAATAAAACTCTGATTCTGGTTATTTACAAACCTTGTTTGATATGAACAAAATCATTATCCACCTTTTACCCTAAAACATCTTTTGTTTCTGATACTGAAACCACTAAAAAAAAAAAAAAAAAAAAAAAAAAGACTAAAATACAGTTTAAATGCTTTACAGTAAAAATTAATAAACTTCAGCACAAAATCAATACTTAATTATTCATCATTAGCTATAGTAAGACTACAAATAAGATGATAGTACTCGTTAGTAAAGCCAATTGCAATTGGTTTAATAAGGACCTCAATTAGAAAGTTGTATAAATGAAAAGACAAGAATTTGATAATTCAGTACAATTTTTAAAACATAACCCAACTATTTCAGGTTTATCAAAATCCTTAATTTTGATACATTGTACATTTCAGCTTCAACATAAAGACAAATATTTTGGGTTTTAGCCCTTTAAAAACTATTGCTGTGCTTCCTCTCTTCTCTGCTCCTGCCTCTCTGAAATCATTCTTTTTTTTTTTTTTAAACAGGATCTTGCTCTGTCACCCAGGCTTTAGTACAGTGGTGTGATCATAGCTCACTGCAGCCTCAACCTCCTGGGCTCAAGCCATCCTCCCACCTCAGCCTCCCAAGTAGCTGGGACTACAGGCACATGACACCACACCTGGCTAATTCTTAATTTTTGTAGAGACAGAGTCTTGCTATGTTGCCCAGGCTGGTCTCAAACTCCTGAACTCAAGCAATCATCCCACCTCGGCCTCCCAAAATGCTGGGGTTACAGGCCTGAGCCATTACACCCATCCTGAAATCATTCTTCCATTTTTTGATTTAAATTTTTTTTGTAAAGATGGGGTCTCATTATGTTGACCAGGCTAGTCTCAAGCTCCTCGAGTGATCCTCCCACTTTAGCCTTCCAAAGTGCTGGAATTACTGGCCTGAGTTATGCCCAGTCTGGAACCATTCTTTATTAATCTTGGGAACTCCTCTCCATTCTTTTATTAAAATCTGCAAGGAACTATGTCTTCCTCACACACATACACACATTCACTCCACCCCCACAGTCAAAGAGCTCTATTATCAATCCCAGGGAGAAAATGCCAAACCATGGGCTTTTTGTTTCAGAATATGGTAGCCCCCCCTTATCTGCAGTTTTGCTTTCCAAGATTTCAGTTGCCCATGGTCAATCCTGGTCTGAAAATACTAAATGAAAATTTTCAGAAATAAACAATTCATAAGTTTTCAATTGCACACCATTCTGAATAGCGTGATGAAATCTCGTCCGTCCCACTCAGTCCCGCCCGGGATGTGAATCCTCCCTTTGTCCAGCGTCTGCACACTGTAGACGCTCCCATTCGTCAGTTAGCAGCCAGATCCGTTATCAGATCAACTGTCATGGTATCGCAGTGCTGGTGTTCAAGGAACCCTTATTTTACTTAACAATGGGCCCAAAGCAAAAGAATAGTGATGCTGGCATATTGTTATAATTGTTCTATGTTATTATTATTGTTGTTAATCACTTACTGTGCCTAATTTATACATTAAACTTTATCAGAGGTATGCGTTAGAATGTTAAGAAGTTCTGCCATGGCATTTCGTCTGTATGTTTTGTTCTTTTAGCATACATTGCGCTCCTCCCTCCATTAGTCATTAAGGTCTTTGACATTAGATGTATAGGAAAAAAAACAGTGTACGGAGGGCTCGGTACTATCCTTGGTGTGGGGTCTTGGAAAGTATCCCCCACAGATGAAAGGGGACTACTGCATCCTATATAAGTTTTGGGGGGTAATTGGGCCTTTCTAATAATAGTTTCTAGAATAATGTTTTTTATTTTTTAGGAGAGACAGCAAGAATGCTTTGATCTGCTTATAATTATTATTTACTGGTCTATTATGTATTAAATGGGACTCTGTGCTGGACTGGACCATGAGTGATTATCCTTATCTGTATGACATAAGTGTCCACAAAGTTTCAAGTTACCAGCTTCGTTGGTAGTCACTGATATGGTTGTGTGTCTGGGTATTTTGTTCTTTTAGCATAGGCTGCACCCCTCTTCCCTATTAGTCATTAAGGTCTTTGACATCAGATACTCCGCCTTTTGTAAAATAAGATTAAAAAGTACAGAGGTCTATACATAGTGTGGCAGGAAATTCTCACTGGAGTTTACTGCTTGGGGCAGAGATAAGATTGAGGCCATTTAGCTACAAATAGAATGCACTGCACGCCCCATTCCCTTCACTGAGGCTCTGGTAGAGGCAAAGAAGTCCCAGCTGTCAATTCTGAAATTCCCAGGTGCACCAATCCAGATTACTTTAACTATTATTAATTACTGGCACCTCACAACTCATTGCCCCACACCAGTGCATCTTAATAGCATGGCTGAGAACCATGGATTTAACGTATGTGTTGAAGGTCGACCAAAGAATCCATTTGAAATCTAGAAATATCTACAGATCCAGATGCCAATGGCCTGTAACCTAGGGCAAAGCACTCCAGCTTTTTGTGCCTCATTTTTCTCGCCTGTAAAAAAAAAGGATAACAACATTTACTTATCAGGGATTCGTTATAAGAATTAAATGAGACATATGTAGGCACTCAATAAAGGTCAGTTGCTGCTGTGTGGCCTTGGACAAATCATTTAACATCTCTGCACCTCAGTTTCCTCTTTTGTAAAGTAACAGGAATGGGTTACATAATTTCTAGGACTCTTAACAACAGGGAATTCTGAAATCATATACCTCAGATCTGAGATCCTAGATGTCAGATCTTAGCAGAGGATAATAAACATAAGGAATAAATAACTAAGGAAAATTTGGCACGAGGGGTTGATTAGATCTTTTCAGAACGGTTATGGCGAAAGCAATACAGACCAAGCAGATTGGAAAGGCAGCCATCGCCCAGGCACTTACAGAAAGTAGACGTTCCCCAAGGAGCTGGGTACAGGGAGTAGCTCTGCGTTCCCTCACACAGGCCATTTCCACAGACGGAATAAATGGAGAGAAAGAAAAAGAACATTACACCCAAAAATATTTTAAGACCATAAAAGTAGACTCAATTAAAACAAATGTTTTAATGGAGCAAAAAGCAAAATGGACTGACGCTTAATTTTGATGCTGGTTCTGTCACTAACTTGGTTTGCAGTTTTGCTTTGGCTACCAGGAACCTCACAGTCAAATTTATTGTTCATGTTTAGTAACCCTTTAGAAGTTCTTATAGCCTACATGTTATGACTGCAATTCCACTTGCCCCTTTCACTCAGCCATTATACTTGATTTTCCATAATCACAGCTTTGTTTTTTTTTTTAGATTTTCCTATTTCATTGTATCTATTCTTGTAATCCACTTGAATTACTTTATGAAACAAGGCAGAATATAAATAAATAGAAATCATTTTGTGAGTCACTCAACTACTTTACATGTTCTTTTCCTGTGTTTCAAATAAGAGTTGGGGACTCTGTCCAACATTCCTTTCAGCTCTAACCCTGTTGATTCTAGTCTTTCATTTCTGCACCTCAAAGGCCATAATATTAGGTGGTCTTTATAGAGCCTTGACTTAGTAAATATAGACAGCACTGGGCTCTCCAATACATTTTACTTGTTCCTTATACGTTTATTAGGAGTCACTTATGCTCTGGAAGATTATTGTCAGTAGAACTAATGAATTTTAAATGACTCATTTTGAAGATTTCCTTCCATCCTATAACTACTAGTTGCTCCATTAGTATCCTTAGAATTGGAGCTATCACTCCAATTAACTCCAATATAACACTTGAATAGGGCTGAATGTTTGTATAGAAACTATTAACTTGACTAACAGTTTGAAATGATCCCACTTTGATCTTTAGCAACCCTATGTGATAAGTCAAGCTGGGGACACATCTGCATTTTGTAGATAAGGAAAGGGAAATACAAAGAGATTCAGTGACTTACTCAAAGTCACACAAGTAATAATCAGCACGAGGACTTCAAGTCTGATCTTCTGACTCTACTCCTTGGCCCTCTGCAACCTCCCAGCCTCAATAAAACACTGGGAGGGGATGCTTCCAGGTCACACACCTCCTGTGACAGCCTCTTTGTTATGTTGCCCTGGAGAGCCACCTGCTCCAGTCCCATGGAGTGCCATAGAATTGTCTTATCCCTCTTTCACATACAGACCTTCTACTTCTTGAAAACAGTAATCCTGTACCCTTTAAATCTTTTATTCCTGAGCTAAACATCAGAGTCAAATTCCCTGAGAGCTATTTTATCTGTGAGGCACACGAAACTCAGTGGCTAGGGTCCATTGCTTTTCAGGGGCCTATGGAAAAAAAAAAAAAAGGTTCCAAGATACAGATAACAAAATTGAAATTAATAGCCATTTAATTAACTACCTGAAAAATGTAACATTATGTCAATGTCATTGTTAAATTTATTATTCATTTATAAATTTATTACAGGTGAGAACACTTGTAGATTAGATTCTCTTGTTTTGCAAGAATTCCTGAGTAGGCACACTGATTGATTTATGCCTACTCGGGAGAGTAGACACAGACAATTGTAAATTGAATAATCATGTATAGGCAAATAACTTCAAAGGCAAAAATATAAAAATCCCTTCAACATTTTTATGGAAAATTTTACATTTAATTCAAGATGTGGGTGCATTTTAATTCGTTTGATCTAAGTGATGATGCCTCCAAAAGAGTCTACATAAAGCTTAAAATGGTCCTGAGTCTTCCATGGCCTAAATTTCTCCATGTAGGCCAACATAACTTTTAGTAAAATTGCTCCTTGTGGCTTCACAGTTTATGTAATTTCTTCTAGTTGCTGAATTTGACCAGTAAATTGAACCCCATTTACATTTGTTTGGAAGAAAATGAAGTTTCTGGGAGCACTCTGGGTCCTGCCACAATTCCACCAACATGACCTATCATGTTGTCAGAAGCGTCCTCTCTCCACACCACACAAATCTAATCTCTTCCAGACATGATGAGAAACTGCTGTAACTCTGGCAAAAGAGCCACTGAAGTCAGCCACATTGCCAAGGGCACGGTTTTAATTGCCTCAAGGAGCCCTGGGGTGCACGGGCAGCACCCTAAATATATTGTAGGTTAAAACCATCTTGCATCCAGACACAGACTGTTAATTCTGTTAAACTTCTTCTATTCAAGTGATATGCCAGGTATCGAAAATGGGCAATTCTTTAAAGGTGCAACGGCTCTGTGAGTGCTCCTTTCACAGGGCCTAACGTGAGACCATCTGGCACAAAGGCTTCATCTGTGATGCCCTCAGAAGTCACCAAGAGGAAAAGCTGGGAGGATCTGCTTGTGAATTCCTAGGGCCGGTAATGATGACAAACCTGCTTTCTAGAGGGCTGGGCCTATGGGTCTTGGCTTCAATCTCAGGCCTGCGGGAAGTCGTGGGGAGCTGGATGATTGAGGCAATAGTACTGATGGTCTCTGCCAAAGCCACAGCCAATTCTAGAACTGGCTTCCCTGCTGGGAAGATGAAAGCCTGAGTTTTATCTGGGTTCTAGGAGGACCTCCAGAGTTCCTCTTCCTTAGGCAGGAAACAAAGCAAGCTCTTAAAGGGGGCAGGGTAGGGAACATGGGGCTCTGCATCAAGGTGTGTGTAGAAAAAGCTGCTACCCAAAGCTACTCTGTTCTCAGAGGCTCAGCATCCTGAATGAGGATGCATTTGCCTCACAAAAGCCCTGTCTCAGTCAAGCCCTTTGGAGTCTATCCAAGGTGACCACCTGCCCTATCTTCTAAGTCTACTTGTTCCATCTCTGTGCTTCAAACCTGAGTTTGCCTCTGTCCCAGCCCTTCAGATTGATGTTCAGATCAGCTTGGGTCTAGTCTCTGGCTTCTCTGATGCTGTCTGCAGGCTTCCCTGTACTCCCAAAGCCAGTCCTGACTCTAAAACCCAGCCAGGCCTGCAGAGCTTCACCATCTCTGGTTGTCCAGGCAAAAACTCTGAATGCTGTAATGCAGAGATCACTAGAGCTTCTATGTAGAGACTCAGCCAAGACCCTTGAAGAAGGGAGACAAGTTTGGCCATGAAACAATAAACCACCTTTAGAAACTCAACAGCACTTATTGGGTGCCTGTGGAATGGTGCTAGGCACTGTGGGTACAGCAAGCTCTGCCTTCACAGAGCTTAGAGTCACCTTCAGACCTGCTGAACAGACACTCCGCTTCCTTACCTTCTGCTGGTAGCATGGTGTTTAGGCTTCCAGGGCAGCTTACCTCTTTCCAGTTCTGATATGGGCAATAAGAGAAGTCACACCTGTGTGGACCAACACCACCGGGAATAGCAATAAAACAAGGGATCAGACAACCAAGGTACATTCCATCCCTTCCAGCTGATTCTTTCTAGTTTATGCATTGTTGCTCTGGGAACCCCAGGATCTATGGGTATCTTCAGCACAGATCCATGAAGTTGCAGCTGTAGAGCAAAAGGAAAAAATATATAATACACGATAAATACCCTAGGGCTGTTTGGTGTACTAAACATTGAACTTGATCTTTCCACTGGAATAAGGAGAAGTAATTTACCTCATTAGAGAGTACATGGCAGCAAGAAAAATATAGCTCATGAACCATATTTATTTTCCATTAATCTTAAAACAACATCCCTCATCCAGATTAAAATACTCAAAACCAAGGGCGTATGATTGATTAAAGAGAAACAACCCTGAATCATGGGGTTGATTCCTGGAGGGGTAAAACAAGGAGACAGATTATTTGCTCTCTTATTACAGATTCCAAGATAAAACTCCTCCCACCTATGACCATGGATGGATACTGGCATCTCTGAATCTTTCAAAGCTTGGAATATCTAACTTAAATCTTTCCACAGTATCATTTAATCCTTATTCTCTTATGCTACCCTCAGTGATATTAAATTTTGAAGATTAATACACATTTTTAGGTGGTAGACCTTAAAAACCAAGAGCCGATTTAACATTTTTCAATCTTAAATTATTCTTAAATTGGGAACTTCATGGTCTTCTCTATATTTACTGCGATCAGGTGTGCCTCACTTTGTAGAATAAATGCATCCCAGAAGGTTCACCTTTAAAGTGAACTTTCCCCCTCTGAGAGTCATATAAAACCAATCCCAAGACAAAATGAAACCATCTTCAATGATTAAATCCTTTTTTAATCATGCATTTTAAAGGAGAAATTTTTGATAAAATAATAATACACTTATGAAAACAAAGTTTCTTTTGTCTGGCAGGATCACTTCTAGAGATAAAGGAAAAAACAGCAATTATAGCTTAAGAACAGAACATCCTAGACTAAAAATTCACTCAGCTTTTATCAAATCTCTTCACTGTCATTGTACAAGAGAATAACAGGAAATTCTCTTTGGGTGCTCAGACCTTGTTTCCTAGCAATCTATGGAGGCTGAAGGCTCTTAAGAATAAGCAATAGAGCTAAGATCGGGGAAGGGTAGAGACCAAGGTCCCAAATATGAGAGGAAGTGGACCAATGAGGCAATCATGAGAAGGGGGCCTTCCTCATATGTGTTCAGTGTTACCTGTTATCCAATTTAAAGTCAGGCTTTAGACGTCATATAATAATTCCTTTAATCAACCAGAAACCACATATATCCATAAAGGTTGAGAAGAGGGGACAGAACAGGTAGGAAAAAAAGTAACTGTTTAATAAAAGAGAGCCCAAAAGTTGAGTGTTATGAGTCAGGCTGTAGAGGAGCTGGGAGTTCAGTACCTGATCCTACCCTAAGATACCAGTTGGAGAGAAAGAAAGAGAGAAAGTGTGTGTGCATGTATATGTGTGCGTGTACATGTGTGCATGCCTGTATATGTGCACACACAAATAACAATGTAATAACAGCCTCATGACTTTGCCAAGAGTTGATACAGACTAACTCAGAAGAAAAGATAAGGGAGAATCGGAATGCAAATCTAAATATACAGCATATTTTCACTGATGTAAAAGTAAAGAACATTTACCAAACTT